>NW_025791798.1:0-204007 GCF_000001405.40 Homo sapiens | reverse complement strand
GAATTCAATTATTTCTCTCTTCCTTTACTGACAAGGAGAGAGACATCAATGAAGCCAAGTTTGTTTTACAAAATTACAGGCAGGTGGTTGCTTGGCCAGGAGGATAATCTAAATTTCTTGATTCTTATCAAGGATTGTTTACTTTGTTCTCTACTACAAAGTTTATTTCAAAGACGTTTTGTAGAGGGAAGGGGGGAGGGATAGCATTAGGAGATATTCCTAATGCTAAATGACGAGTTAATGGGTGCAGCACACCAACATGGCACATGTATACATATGTAACAAACCTGCACATTGTGCACATGTACCCTAAAACTTAAAGTATAATAATAATAAAATTAAATTAAATTAAATAAAAAAAGACATTTTGTTGTTCCTTGTAATTCTACTTGGAACTGAGTCCATTTAGCAGAAAAGGGAATTATCCTTATCATGGCTTTAAAATAAACAATGAGTGTCATACCATTGGCAGTTTATACAGTATGATTTGAAACTCAATGCCAATTTTAAAACACAATTTAATAGACAATCACAAATTACCAAGGATTCCAGTGGAGATATACAAATGGAGTTTTGTGTTAAATAAACATAAGGCAATGTGAATAACAAAAGCATCACTTACCATGATGGACAGATTTATTATTGGCAGGAATCAAATTATTGAAGAGAACTTATAGGGGAAACCTATAGCTATCTGAATTTCCTATAAAACTCCACAGCAACTAAACAAAAACTGATGGAAGAATTTAAGTTGAACTTGGATTAAATTTTTACATGTATCCTAATGTCAGCAACAAGATTTTGGAATTAAATGTTTGTGGTTTTCAGTGTTCTTATTAATTTAGAAGTATGCCATTGTCTGCTTTGGATTAGCGAGGAAATAGAGTGCATTTTCTGGATATTGTTGTAGTATATCAACAACATTCAGCAAAAGCTCCAGCTTTAAAGACCACTATTGCACATGAAGGCAGAAGGAAGCCTGTTGCATACTGAACGTTCTAGCTGGTGATTATACACACTTAAATCCTCTTGACTGATGAATAACCACCCTCTCCATGAGAAGGCACTCCTACCGGAAGCTCGCATGTAACAGTGTTAGAGGAAAGTTACACGTAATGAACCATTGAGAGCCACTCACTCAGTTAACTCTGTTGTCAAAAAATGACATGCCCCAGTTTGATCCTCCCTTCATCCAACAAAACTTAGTACTAGCCGGGCGCGGTGGCTCACGCCTGTAATCCTAGCACTTTGGGAGGCCAAGGCGGGCGGATCCCCTGAGCTCAGGAGTTCGAGACCAGCCTGACCAACACGGAGAAACCCCGTCTCTACTAAAAATACAAAATTAGCCGGGCGTGGAGGCGCGTGCCTGTAATCCCAGTTACTCGGGAGGCTGAGGCAGGAGAATCGCTTGAACCCAGGAGGCGGAGGTTGCGGTGAGCCAAGATCGTGCCATTGCACTCCAGCCTGGGCGAAAAGAGCGAAAACTCCGCCTAAAAACAAAACAAAACAAAAAAAAACTTAGTACTAAATAGCATGATTTTAACAGGGATTAATGTTTTAATCTATATAGCGAATAATTAGCAAAACGACAACTTGAGTTTTGTTCTGTTAAATATATTAAAGACAGAATATAACTTTCTTAATGTCTGAAATAAATCTGGAAACAACAAATCTAGACATCCGCTTGGTTTGTAACTTAAGTGAAATGAGTTTAATTCGAAATTAAATAGTTGGACAAATCAAAATAGGGCAAAAACATGGAAATAACTAATTAATTTGGAAATATTTGATAGCAGAGGGGAATGGTGGTTACTCAGATCTGCACTAGGAGAAGGCTTTGCTTTGGTGGATAAAATAGCATAAAATATGTCTAATATTGAACATCAGCAATTAAATTTCATATATTTTTATAAAATGATTAGTATGGTGCTATCAATATAAACTGAAGCATGTATCTTAAAATAACCCCAGAAGAATAGACACATTGCAAAGACTGAACATGGTGTTATTTGACAAAACAAATAATGTATAGAAATTGGCTTATTTCATTTGTAGCAACTCAGCATAATTCTATGTAATAAGAGGTGTACAGAGGATAAATAAACGCAGAAATATCACAAAGCAAAGTAACTTCCTAGAACAAAGCCAGTTTTGTATATTCTTAGTGAAAATAATAATGAAGTGAAGATATATATATAAAATCATATATGTATGTATTTTAGATTATTAGTGATTATTTAGAAAAGGTCTCACAAACGTTTTAGGATATAAAAGTACTTTATAACCTAAGAGAGGCTATCATGTTATACTCAATCAATATGTACTCTAATAAGATGAACACATTTGGCTGCAGTACCATGTAAATAATAATAATAATCTCCCCTTGGAACAAGAGACGGCTTTTCATGTTTTCCTTTCATCATATCAGAGCCTGAAAAATGCCTGGACCCCTAACAGACACATTCAATAAATATTTGTTGAATGAATGAAAAAATATATGCTCTATCATATAGTCTACTTAAATTTCAATACAGTAAGAAGAGTTTAGGAGAGTTAGCTTCCATTATTCTCAATTAAAGATAGCATGTGGCCTGTATGGCAGAAATGTCTCTTCAGAATATTTTAGCCTTTGATTCTATAATGAACTCAAAAACAACTTCGATGTTAATGTCTGAAATCAGGAACTCTATTATTATGATTGTATTTCAGATTAGAGTTCAAAATCTGCTTGAGGCTGGATTATGTGCTCGGTGTGCAGAATCAGAGCAGAACCGAGATTCCTTGTCACGTCTCCAACTGGAGAGGAGGAATTTTCTTTTTTTTTTTTTTTTTTTTTTTTTGAGACGGAGTCTTGCTCTGTCGCCCAGGCCGGACTGCGGACTGCAGTGGCGGAATCTCGGCTCACTGCAAGCTCCGCTTCCCGGGTTCACGCCATTCTCCTGCCTCAGCCTCCCGAGTAGCTGGGACTACAGGCGCCCGCCACCGCGCCCGGCTAATTTTTTGTATTTTTAGTAGAGACGGGGTTTCACTTTGTTAGCCAGGATGGTCTCGATCTCCTGAGCTCATGATCCACCCGCCTCGGCCTCCCAAAGTGCTGGGATTACAGGCGTGAGCCACCGCGCCCGGCCAGGAGGAATTTTTTAGTCCCCGTCAACTGAGGGTGCTGCATTTATTCCTGGGCCTATGTAGGCAGCTTAGATTCAGCTTTTTGTGTGAAAACACATACAAATCTTGTTGCCTGGCCCTGCAACAGGAGCACTGACATCCCAGCACCTGGAGGATCTCAATACATGCAGAAATGCACTTGATAAAATTCAACATTTGTTAGTTATGGTTATAAAGATCTTAGCAAATCAGAAAGATAAGGAACACTTTCAAGTTGACAAAACCTACAGTAAATACAATACTAAATTGTGAAAGACTGATGAGTACCCCTAAGGTTGAGAACAAGGTAAGGATGTCTTTTCTCACCATTTCTATTCAACATTAGGCTGAGGTCTTAGTGAAAAGAATAAGGGAAGAAAAAGCGATAGAGGCATGCAAACTGGGAAAAACAAAACTGTCTTTATTAACAGATGTTATAATTAGCTATTTAGAAAATCTCAGAAAGGCTACAAAAATGCTAAACTGATTTAAACGTGAAATTTCCACGGTCATAGAATGCCAGGTCAACATATATATATATGTTTATATATGTTTATATTATATATATAATATATGTTTATATATATATAATCACACCCTTGTATATGAGCTAAAAATAACTGAAAATTGAAATTAAAAAACATAATACCATTTGCAATATATCAAAAACATGAAATTATTCAGAATAGATCTAGTAAAATATAAGCAAGCTTTGTGTGCTGGAAATTAAAAATCATTGATAAAAAATCAATATAAAATAAAGCAATAGAGAGATACACTATGTTTATGGAATAAAAGACTAAATATTATTTAAATCTCAATTCTACCCAAAATTCATTTATAAATTCAGTTCAATCCCTATCAAAATCCCATCAGGTATTTTTGTTGAACTGACAAGCTGATTCAAAAACTTATATGAAAATGCAAGCCTTGAGAATAACTAAAACAATATTTTAAAAGAACAAATGTGGAGGATTCATATGGTTTGACTTAAAGTCACACTATAAAGCTATAGTAAGATAAAGTTGCATTGAGATAAAGTATAGAAATGTACAGAATAATTTGGAACAGAATATAGTGTCTAAACATAGATCTACACATATATAGTCAGCTAGTATTCTACAATGATTGATTCTCAATGGTGAAAGAAGAGAGTTTTTTACAAATGATGCTTGATTAACTTGGTGACCGTATGAAAAAAGATGAGTCTTGATCTTCACCTTTCTTGTTATAAGAAATATTAAGTTGAAATAGATCAGAAGCCTGAATGTAACATGTAAAACTCTAGAACTTCTAGAAGAAAATATTTGAGAAAATCTTTATGAACATGGTTAGGAAAAGATTTCTTAGATAAGGCAAGAAAATGAGATAAATAATAAAAATTAAAAGTAGAAAAATTGGACTTCCTAAAAATTAAGAACTCCTGCTCTTAAATATCACCATTAAGAAAATTAAAAGATAATCCACAGAATGGGAGAAAATATTTGCAAATCATATATCAGATAAGGAATTTGTATCCAGAATATACAAAGAATTCTTACAACTCAAGAAGCCAAACAATTTGGTTAAAAAAATTAGGTAAAATATTTGAAAAGACACTTCACCAAAAAACAATGACAGTGATGACAAACAAAAAGATGATCAACATTATTAATCACTAGGGGAATGCAAATTAAAATCTTAAGGAAATATCACTATTTATTGGAACATTTAAAATAAAAATAAAGATAAGAAAACCAAACCATGTTCTGGTAAGGATGAACAACCCAACGCTCATATGTTTTTGATGAGCCACTTTGGAAAACAGATTAGCACTTTATGTTATAAATTAGCACTTACGTTATAAATTCATACGTGCACTTATTGTATGACTGAGGAATTCCATTTCCAGGTTTTTACCAAGGAAAATAAAAATGTATGTCTGTACAGTATCTGTACATGAATGTTTATAGCAATTTTATATGGAACAACCCCAAACTGAAAACAACTGTAGTGTCCATTAATTGGTAAATAAATAAACTCACTGGGGCATATCCATAAAATGAAATACTATTTAACCAAAAAAAAAAAAGTAATGAAGTACTAATATATATAAAGACAAGACTTACTTTAAAATGCATGATGCTAAGTAAAAATCTTAGCTTTTTACTTACTTCTTCATGTATGATTTCCTTTATATGAAATTCTAGAAAACACAAAACTACAAGGACAAAAATTCATTTAAAGATTCCCAGTCAGGAGTTCGAGACCAGCCTGGCCAACGTGGTGAAACCCTGTCTCTACTAAAAATACAAAAATTAGCCAGGCGTGGTGGTGGGCACCTGTAGTCCCAGCTACTTGGGAGGCTGAGGCAGGAGAATCGCTGGAACCTTGGAGGTGGAGATTGCAGTGAGCTGAGATCGTGCCACTGCACTCCAGCCTGGGCACAGAAGCTGGGCATGGTAGAAATATATAGATATATTTCTATATATATATCTGTATATATTTCTATATATATATCTATATATTTCTGTATATATTTCTATATATATTTGTATATATTTCTATATATATTTATATATATTTCTATATATATTTATATATATTTCTATGTATATATTTCTCTCTATATATATATTTATATATATATAGAATAGGGGCACCAGAGGAGTTTCTGGCTGGGATTGTTTTAAGGGTTGAATGTGGTAGGGCCTATGTAACTATGCTTCTATCAAAACTTGTTGAATTGTACAAGTAGAATTAGTGAATGTCACCTTCTGAAATTCTACAGTAAAGTTGAATAAAAGGAGACTTCCAAACCTGTATTTTTGAGAGCCTATTTCTGAGTCATAAGTCCAACAAAGTTTACCTTACATGGTACTCATTTGTCATGCAATCTCACCTCTTTCTGTTTTTTCACACTATCTATGGGTTGCCATCTCCATTTATTTTCTGTGAACTCCCAACACTATGCACAAGTTTTATAATTCTCCACCATGTTAACTGTAACAGAAAGCATTTTGCATTAGCTCAACTAACCATGTTCCAAAAACAGATGTTCTGTTTTATAGTATACATGTATTAATTTATATATTAATATGTTAAAATATTAATGTAATATTAATAATTATATTACTAATATATCAATAATATAAATATAAATATAACAATAATATATTAATTATGCAAGTATTAATATAAATATATTAATAAGATAAATATTAATATAAATATATTGATATTGTGTGCATATATATAAATTCTCATGACAAAATTTTGTGTAACATAAAAGGATTGGAAGAGGAAAGTGAAGATCTGTTTTTTTCCCTCCAATCAAATCCTTCAACTGGGGGCAATTGCTGTTAATACATAGTTTTCTGAACATTTGCATAAGTAGGGCAGTTGTATAGTAGGGCAACATATTTTTTGTCACATGGCATTATGTGTAAGGGAACTTAACATGTCAGCTTATATAGATGGATTTCAATCTTGTGATTGTGACATGTACGAAATAGAGCAAATATACTGTAATTTGTTTAGTCATTTCTCTATTGTTGAACACTTACTTAGGAGTTTTCCAATGTTGATAGTTTCCATTGCAGTGCCAAAATAGATCCTATTAGATGTTTATTTCTAAAGATAACAGCTAAAGTACAGGTATTATATCTTGGGCTCACCTGCTATCTAAGTAAATAGCCTATTACGTGCTACGTAGGTGCTGTACCTGTGTATGAATAAAAACACATCATAGAAATCAGCAAGGAAATCCTTCTTCTTAAACACTAGATGAAATTGCTCCAAGCTTTCACTGAACATTTTCTTGAAAATCCTCCTCAGGATTTTTCCAAATTATCTGTAGGCTTATAATTTTGTGGTCATTCTCCTCCTGCCCCCCACATTTCCTCTGATTTAACTTCGTTTCAAAATTATGCAACTGTTCTATGTGTAGGGTTCTTTTTCTAATTATTTTGCCCTATCATGTAACAAACACAGCATTTTCCTTAGTGTTCATAAAATCAAAATTCTTACTCATGCTATGTGTGTTTTAACTGAACTTACTCAAGTTTTCAAGGGCCAGAAAAAATGTGTACAACTGACCACTGTAGCACTGCTAACACCTCCAGTTGTGTGTTACCCATCCTCCTTAAAATCATAAAGTTCCTTGGCCTGGTCTGGATTCTAGCTTCAGTCTGCTGTCATCTGTTGCAGACTGCATTTCTACTCTTTCGTATTTATTATTCACCTCTTCTCTCCCTTTTCCGTTTCTTTTGTTTCAAGAAGAGCAAAAATAACAAGAACATATTTCTCCCACTGCTCTACACAGAACATTTAAGCTTCCCTCGGCTAAATTGTCTAACTACAAATTTAACCCAACACACTTTACAAACTCAAGGGCTGGGCTAAAACATAAGTGAGTAGTAGCCCATATGTAGTGGCCTACAAATGTCGGCCATTTGTAATGGCCTCACACAATTTAGTTGAAAGAGATGGTGTCCTCTTCAATCTCTGTCTGGCTGAGGGAGCAGGGAGCTCACAGTCTGATAATGTACAGACCTGTTGAGACACCAGTGGACTACCATATAATGGAAGAAGAGTCGAGGGAACACTGAGCAGGGTAGGATGAATTCTGCTTTGAGGTAGTCCCAAAGACTGCCAAGAGAAGGCAGTACCCGAAGATAAGTCACATGAGTCAGAGGTGAGGATGGTTTTCTATGAAAGGTAGAAGCCCTGTAAATTTGAGAAGCAAAATATTCTGGGAGACATCTGCTACCCTGCTGATCAAGAGTCTACTCAGTAAAATTTCACTAGTTTTTTTGACTTCAACAATAAATCATCAGCCTAATGTAGGTGGGCTCTACCATTCACAGCAAGTGCACACTACTCTTCAGGTAGACCCAAAGCACAGGAAAAGCAGAAATAGTGCCATTGCCATTATATACCTACATTATGTTACAATCCTCAGCTTCCATTTTTTTTTTTTTTTTTTTTTTTTTTTGAGACGGAGTCTCGCTCTGTGGCCCAGGCGGGAGTGCAGTGGCGCAATCTCGGCTCACTGCAAACTCCGCCTCCCGGGTTCACGCCATTCTCCTGCCTCAGCCTCCCGAGTAGCTGGGACTACAGGCGCCCACCATCACGCCCGGCTAATTTTTTTTGTATTTTTAGTAGAGACGGGGTTTCACCGTGTTAGCCAGGATGGTCTCGATCTCCTGACCTCGTGATTCGCCCGCCTCGGCCTCCCTCAGCTTCCATTTTTGAAATATTTTTTTCTGTCAACACCAGCAGTGAAAATTAGACTATGTGCACAGGTTAAACATGCATTGAAGAGCTACAAATCTGGTAACAGAAATAATAAAACATTTCAGATCTGTGAATAATTTCAGTTGTCTATTTGATTGATCAGGAGTCATGGCACAGAAAGGAAAAAAAGAAGGTAAAATTAAGGAATATGTCCAGATGAAAGAGAAGTACCACGTGCCTACCACTCCCTTTCTGCCCAAAGTGCCAACATCTCTTATTAAATAAACTGCATTTTACTCTATTTATAGAAAAGGATACTCTAGAACTAGGAACTCCATTTCTATGATACCTGGGAACAGAATAAAAAACATAACTACAAAAACTGCAATATAAAAGCTGCTGTAGAAAACAGAAAATATGAGTCAAAACATTTCAGCTGAAGAAATTCTTCCCCCAAACCAACTAGGAAGAAAGATAAACTGCAATAAAACTCTCCAGACTGAATTAAATATCCTCAAATAAGCATCTGAAGATGGTACAATTCAAGAAATTTAACACTGAAGTAATATTTTCATCTAATCTATGTAGTCCATATTCCATGTCTAGAATCACATACTGCATTTAGTTTTTCTATCTCTTTCACCTTCTTTATTCTATCAGCATTTCTCTGCCTTTCTTTATCATGGCATTGGGAGTTTTGAAAAATTCAGGCTAGTAATTTTACAGAATGTTTCTTCATTTGAGCTTGATTGATGTGTTCTCATGATTAGACTTGGTTATACAGCTGCAAGTGGAATAATGCAGCAGTGATGTGGTGTCCTTCTCGGGGTACCATATATCCCCCAAATACAAGACATCTACATACCTCTTATTGGTGAGGTTACTTTGCAGCAAAAGGTCAAAGTGTCATTTGCATTCTTCACTGTTTAGTTAGTACTTTTCTCCTTGTAATGAATAGCAGTCTGTGAAGAGACACTTTGAGAACACGCAAGCAGCCTGCTTCTCATCCAGCTCTTCCCAAAGATAAGTATTCTCCTGATACTTCTTGCCTAAATTATTTTTTACCACCATAGTTGCAAATGGTATTCCCCGCCCTGCCTCCCTCCACCCGGCCACTCCATGACTCTTCCTTTCACATGTATCAGGTGGCACACTAATTTAAAGAAATGTTCTCTTGGCTGGGCGCGGTGGCTCACGCCTGTAATCCCAGCACTTGGGGAGGCTGAGGCGGGCGGATCACGAGGTCAGGAGATCGAGACCATCCTGGCTAACACGGTGAAACCCCGTCTCTACTAAAAATACAAAAAAATTAGCCGGGGGAGGTGGCGGGCGCCTGTAGTCCCAGCTACTCAGGAGGCTGAGGCAGGAGAATGGCGTGAACCCCGGGGGGCGGAGCCTGCAGTGAGCCGAGATCGCGCCACTGCATCCAACCTGGGCGACAGCGAGACTCCGTCTCAAAAAAATAAAATAAAATAAAGAAATGTTCTCTTTTCTCCTCTGCTTATTTATCCATTTATGTATGCGCGTATCTCTTTGTTTGCTTATTATAATAGATGAATAATTTCCTACTTTATTTAATCATCCTATTTTATTTAATCGTTGCAATCCTCATTTATTTTGATAGACAAATTGTCCCTAGATTTGGTCAGCAGGAGCCCCTTCAAGCTATTGCCTATTTCTTTTTGACATGTTCCCATTGTTTTCTTGAGCACTCCCTTTCTTTCTGGCACAAAAAGGTGTTCCAGTTTCATCATGTACCTTCTTTGTCCCAGCCCTGGAACCAGACATTTCTCCAAGAGGCTCTTGTTCCTTTCAGTAGGGACAGGTATTAAAAACCATCTGGGCACAAAATTCGCTTATGGCTCTTAAGGTATTAGTGCCTCTTTTGTGGGTAGAATTAGGAAAAAATAATACATATATGTGTGTGTGTGTATATATATATATACATGTAAATATATATGTGTATTGTGCATACATATATATCTGTCTCGTACTGAGACACTGTTTGCTTAGCTACATTTGACTTAGGTGCCAGTTTCAGCCAGAATAGGAGAGGGAAGAGATGAGGGAGGAGGGAGAGTGAGAGAGAGAGAGAGATGAGAAAGAATTCCTCAGGATCACTTATAAAGTGATTTGTAGAAGCAGTGAGTAGGAATGGTTTCATTTCACTTGTGAACTCTGAGCATTAACTTTCCCCATTCATGTCTATGAATGTTTTCTGTTCAAATGCCAACCTTCAACTGGGCTTTGACGTGGAGAGGGAAGAGTTTTCAATTCATCTGCACCCATTTGCTCTTCAATGTATCCTGCATTTTACTGTATCCTAGAAAACCACTACCCAGGTACAGGTATCTGGTCTGTGCTCACTTCGCTTTAGAAATAAAAATTATAAGGTGGAATTGAGAAGATAATGTTTGAATAAATGGTTGAAGAATGCCCAGACCACCTAAGAGAAAAATGAACACTGTATAGATTATGTTATCATGCCCACAGATCACTGTGATAAATAAGACTCCATGAACAAACCTTGAATAGTGTGCACTGTTCTGTGGCCAATTCATTTGCCATTTCAAGATATCCAGCCACTCAAAGGATTTAAAGCAGGAAGGATTTCACAGGATCTATGATACAGTCTTTTGTAAAACAACTTTAGATAGTCATTTATTTTCTCATTATATTTTTAGCAAGCACAGAACAGGTGGGAAACACAGCTTAGCTGGAATGGAACAAAGGAAGATTTGATACTTTTTTAGAAGCTTTTACAATAGAATCTATACTTTAATGGATAGCGTTATGAGAGAAAATAAGATTATAATGGAATAAAAAGTGGTCTAATGTTCATCATTCAATTTAGTGGATATGTTATAAGATTATTTCTAAAATCTTTTGTAGATAAAACTAGATGCCTTTCTTGATTCTATGACTGGTATTACCCTGTCATAATTTCTGAGCCCTTTACTAAAAGTGTTTTACTGAACATACTAAAGCGTATTATGTAAAAGATAGTGAGCTATGGTGCAAGATACTATGCAACATGCCCCCCAATATTGTGACTACCTCTCCACCTATTTATACATAGAATTTACGTGGCATAAACAGATAGGCAAATACTATAATTATTATAAAATGATTTTTCAAAATCTATTTTTGTATCTAACATAATGCTAAAGAAGAACTCTGTCAAAATAAAATATTAGAATTTCATAAGTCTTTTGTGCCTAGAAATTGCTGAGATGTAAGCCTTTTTTCATGAATGCTTTCTCTACTGACTCCTCCTCCTCCTGAGTTGATGAGTACTCTGCCCCTTGCTCTTTGTGCTAAACACAGACAAGAGTGAGTGCTGGTGGTCCCTAAGAAATAACTAGATTACAAACATTGGCCGGGCGCGGTGGCTCACGCCTGTAATCCCAGCACTTTGGGAGGTCGAGGCGGGCGGATCACGAGGTCAGGAGATCGAGACCATCCTGGCTAACACGGTGAAACCCCGTCTCTACTAAAAAATACAACAAATTAGCCCGGCGCGGTGGCGGGCGCCTGTAGTCCCAGCTACTTGGGAGGCTGAGGCGGGAGAATGGCGTGAACCCAGGAGGCGGAGCTTGCAGTGAGCCGAGATAGTGCCGCTGCACTCCGGCCTGGCGAAAGAGCGAGACTCCGTCTCAAAAGAAAAATAAAATTATTGCATTATCTTTCGTAGAAGCCATAACATTCAGGGGATGGTAATTCATAGGTAGGTATAAAGTATATAAGGAAACAACAAAGAAGACACTTCTGTAGAGCTTAGAGAGAGACTAAGAAGATCCGAGACAGGAGGAGTATAAGAGAAAACAGGAAGCTGACTCGTGGATCCGAGGAAAAGCCCTAAAGATGGGTCTGAATTACAGGGACTGCAGCCAGGTGAGTGGGTAATCCTGTGTTAGAACCATCCTGAGGCTCACAGTCTTCTCACTCTGGACCAAGGTGACCATTCACTCCATCACTTGTGGTGAGGATTTGGCATTCTTTTCAGCCATCTCATCTGATTGACCAAGAGAAGGTTTCCTTTTCTTTACCTTTGCCTCATTTTTTTTTTCATGTAGACTTGTCTCAAAGCAGTGTTCAGGTCAGCAGAAAGTCCAAGAAAAGAAGAGACTTTTGACACTCATTAGGCTGAGGAGAGCTCAATTTATTAAATGTAATTGTTTTCAGTAACTATTCTTTCATACATTATTTCCTGAAAACTTTTTTCCCTCCTATCCTTTGGGGAATCCAGTTACCCTTATAATAGGCCACTGAAGTTATCCCACTGATGTTCTCTTCCCATTTTTATTTTTCATTTCAGATACTTTCTATTGTTAAACAATTACATTCACTGTTTTTTTACTGCAATTGATAATCTGCTTTTGATTTCATCCAGTATAGTTTTCATCTAAGACATTGTTTCCATGTTTGTTTGATTAATCCCGAGAAGATGATTTCACATTTTGCTCTCTCTTTCATGTCTCTCATTTGATGCTTTCCTCTACCTTTTCAAACATAGATACCTGTTTTAATGTCATTATCTACTAATTTTAGCAACTGTGTCATTGTGGGTCTGTTTCTCTTGATTGATTTTTTTCTCTTCAATATGTATCATTTTTCTGCCTATTTCTATGCCTGATATATTCTTATCGAATGCTGGACATAGTGAATTCTACCTTATTTTGTGCTGAATAGTTAAGCTTTATTCTGGGATGCAGTTAAATTACTTAGGAATAATTTGCTTGTGTTGAAGTTTGCTTTTAAGCTTTGCTTGGTAGAACCAGAGCACCTTTCAGTCTAGATAGAATTGTTTCCACATTAGTGAGACAATATCCTTCTGAGTACTCTAACTGATTCGAGGATTTTCTACCCTGGCTAATGGAAACACAAACTACTTATGACCTTATGTGAATTCTGGAGACTTTTTTGCCTTCCCTTTCTAGTGGTTTGTACCCTGGCCTTGACCATTTCCTCACATACTTGTGTTGATCAGTATTAATTGGAAGATTCAATAAATCTGCACATCCCCTGAAAATCTCTGAAGCTGTCTCTGTGGATAGTTTTCTGATCTCTGTTATTCTTCTTTGTGAATTCTTGCTGCCTTCTTTTTCCCAAACTCTCATCTCTAACATGGAGAACTTAATTTTGCAATCAATCAGCTAAATTTAATGATCAGATTTCTCTTCAGAAAAATTATTTTTGTCAGGAATCTGGAAAGTGAATTGGAATGGATAGGACTATTAGGAGATATTACATTCCAGACGAAGAATTGTGACGGCTGTGACCAAGACAGTGCAGTGAGAGTGGAGAGGAGGTCATGGATTAATCTGCTGTTTTTTGTGGGGGGCAGGGGGTAGACAACAGTTGGTTATCAATTAGTTGTGAGTAGTGAGGGGAAAAGAGAAAGGTTGGCTCCAAGGCTCTTGGCCTAGGTAATTGGTTGAGAATATGGGCTATTCATCAAAATAGGAAACACAGGAGGGAAAAGACAATGTTGAGCATGGAAGAAGGAAAATGAGCTCAGTTTCCCACATACTAAGTTTCAGATGCATGTGAGATATCCAAGGGAGAATAGATAATCAGTAAGTTGGTTCCATTCAATTTTCAGTAAGTACCTATCATATGTCAGGCATTTTGGTAGGAACTTGGAGGTGAAGGATGAATAAGACGCGGTACCTTCCATTGGTGTGGAATACAAGACATCTGAAGCAATATATAAAATTTTGGACAATGGTTGTAAGTATAAAAATTAGGAAGTGCAGATCAATAAAACAAAGGTTTTATACCCTTTCATCCATGAATAAAGCCCCCAGTACATTTTCAGAAACTTTTGGCCTCCACTTAATACAACGTTCAGGTTAGCTCTGACTCTCAGCCAAAGTAATTTTCTGCTTCTGCTTCAAAGTATAAGGTTAGAAGCAGGGAGGGAACTGCTAAAGGCAATTAATTATATTTTCAGTAGTGTGAAGTGATTGCTGACAACTTGACAAGAAAGGCAAAGAAACAAAATACAGAGAGCATAGCTAAGCTCAGCAATATAGGTCCTACATATATCAAAATCTCTGTGTTTACTGCTGTATTGCAACCCAAGATGATAATGATTTTTTACAGTGATACCTTTCCACCATCAAGAAGAATTTTCATTGTATCTGCTTATTTTACGCAATAAATGTTTGATGCAAAATGAATGCTTAATAGATTTTTATGATGATTTCTTACAAATGCTTTGTTGACTCGTTAAAACACAAAAATATATTTCTACAATACCACAAACTAGGAATACTGGTTGGAGATCGTCCAGACTTCAGTAGAAAGGTTAATTAATAAAAAGGCAGATGAGAGGCGCACATAGAACAGTGAATCCTTCTGGAGAAAGAAAAGTAGATGACATTTTAATGTATTCATTCTATGTATAATTCATCTCCATTTGTCTTGGCCATTATTGACCACGGTCATTGCGAAAGACCTGACTTAAAAATGGTCATGATCATTTAATTCTTCAAATTTACCGTTATCTCCTTTTATTCTGCATTGATTTGAGGCCTCGAATTCCAAGAAGTTCAATATAGGTGAAAAATTCAAGTGAATGTGGATGTGCTTTATGTTTAGGAATGTAAGCTTGGCAGAAGGAAGGCGTGAAGCCTGGTAAAGATGTGTATCACTTCTAATTATCTACAATTGATAAAGGGCTGGACCTATCAAAAAGCCTTCTGCCTGAGATCTGTTGAGAACTCTACGAATAATCAGATGGGGTTATAGTTTGAATGTGTCCCCCAAAGTTCATGTATTAGGAACTTAATCAGTCACCAATGCTACAGTGGTGAGAAGTGGGACCTTTAGGTACATACACACATACATACACGGTTTGTACATTGTCACTTTTCATCTTTTCATATTTTGCCTTCCATAACATGAAGAAATAAGATGAAGAAGTAAGAAAGCCCTCTCTACATGCTGGTGCCATGCTCTTAGTCTTCTGAATTTGTCAGAAATATGAGCCGATACATTTCTGTTTTGTAAATTAATTACCCAGTCTGTGGTATTCTGTTATAGCAGCATAAAATGAGCTGAGACAGATGGATAGAGAGGGAACCAAGATACACTTGTATACTCTGTTTATGGGATATCAAAACAATGTGTAGATCCTGCCTTATTTAATGATAAGTACATACATATATATATATATATATATATATATATATATATATACACACACAGTACATGATAATTTCAGAAATGTTTAACAATGTGATAAAACAAAACATCAGATAAAAGGTTTGTGAATAAAATAATTACAAGAAATATAAATGTATATTTCAGATAAAACATTGTGTTAAAATATATTAAAATATTTGAGTAAGATATTTTAAAATATGTAACTGTAAAGTATTTTAAAATGAAAAAACATGATATAAAATATAAAATACAGCAAATATTTTTTCTGGCCAATTACAGGGCAAGAAAAAGAGAACCGAGTGAAGGTAGCATTGTAAGGAAACTTAAAATATTAAAGGAACACTAGAGGCTGCATTAGAACGAATGAAGAAAAGAATTAAAGCTATAGAACACTAAATGATGTCAATGAAAACATAGGAGTCTTCCTTAGGATCCAAGGGAAAGGGACAAAGAGACAATAAGAGATAAGAAAAGGATATATATGGGGGGATAAAAATATATACCCCAAGTAAAAATCAGTGTTTCTAGAAAATAGAAAAAGAGAATAAATGAGGAGCTAAGAAAAAATGAAGAGATATTTGTCAAAGTGTACAAAATTTCAGTTAGGCAGGATGAATAAGTTGTGGAGATCTAAGTACAGAATGGTAACTATAGTTCTAAAAGTAAAATTGGAGAAAGAATCTAATATTCAATATAAGAAAACTCTCTCCACCTAAGGAAATACTGATTCAGGATATCAAAGCAGATTACTGAATAAAGACAAAATAAATAAAAAGAGAATATCACCAAGATACAAAAGGCCTCAGCTTTTTATTCTCATCACTTCCCCTATTCCAGTAATAGATACCAGGGTTCACCAGTATTTTGAGTAATATCTATCCAAACTTCAGGAACAGATAATTCCCTTGATAATTAAAATGTTTCAGAACATTTGAAGAGAAAGGCAATCTTGGAATTATGTTTATGAAGTCAGCATGACATTGCAATTCCAATTAAAAACCTGAAAATGTATGCCCAAAAGCACCAAATAAAATATTAGCAAACTGAATTGAGCGTTCTATTAAAAATGATAGTCCAGCCAGGTGCGGTGGCTCACGCCTGTAATCCCAGCACTTTGGGAGGCTGAGGCAGTGGATCACGAGGTCAGGAGATCAAGACCATCCTGGCTAACACGGTGAAACCCCGTCTCTACTAAAAATACAAAGAATTAGCTGGGCGTGGTGGCGGGCGCCTGTAGTCCCAGCTACTCGGGAGGCTGAGGCAGGAGAATGGCATGAACCCAGGAAGCGGAGCTTGCAGTGAGCCGAGATTGCACCACTGCACTCCAGCCTGGGTGACAGAGCGAGACTCCGTCTCAAAAAAAAAAAGATAGTCGATGACCACGAGAGATTCGTGGCAACAATGTGAGAATAGCTTTGTTAGTATTTTTCATCATATCATATTACTAAATAAATATCACAGTATTATCTCCAAAGATACCAAAATGCATCTGAATATATTAACATTTCTTAATTTCAATGAGTTTAATAAAGGATATGGTATGTCTTAACATAATAACTACACACACATATGCAACCCACGTACACAAGGGAACACGTGCACACATATATAAAACATATATGGCTGTATGAAGACAGATAAACATTATGCTTAATGGTGAGAAACTTGATGCATTCTCATTAACAAATTGTGTGTGTCTCCTATTACAGCCATTAGTAATTTTTTAAAATACTGATTAATATGGCAGAAAACATAATAGGTAAAAACTTTAAAAAGAAAAAAGCAACATCATTACTAATCGATAAATTTGGATTGAAGAAGTTGAAAATTGTGAAGATCAATAGAAAAGTATTAAAACAAAAACTTTCAGTATGTTTTGGGAAAAATTAATACACAAAAAGATGTAAATAAAAGTACATAAATTACTAGCCAATTAGAAAATATAACATTTATACTTAACACTTATACCTTTAATACCCAAATGAGCAGCAGGTTTTTACTTTTATACCTTTTTTCTATGCATAAAACTAAATATTCTTTTAAAACCCTCAGCTTTTCTTAAATTAACCTATACTTTTATAACTAGTTAAGCTAAAATGCCAGTTTATATCTTTTTTTGACTCAGATAATCTGACTCTTAACTTTTTATCACAGAGCAAATTTCAGGAAATGGATTGATATGATTTAGCTGTGTCTCCACCCAAATCTCACCTTGAATTGTAACTCCCACATTCCCACATGCTCTCATCTCATCAACGAGATCTGATGGTTTTTACAACTGGAGGTTTCTCTGCATAAGCTCTTTGTCTGCTGCCATCCACGTAAAATGTGACTTGCTCCTCCTTGCCTTTCGCCATGATTGTGAGGCCTTCCCAGCCACGTGGAACTGTGAGTCCAACTAAACCTCTTTCTTTTGTAAATTGTCCAGTCTCAGGTATGTCTTTATCAGCTGTAAGGAAACGGCCTAATACACAGATATATTTGAAAAATAAAACTAATAGAATTATTTATCTATTTTATCTGATATAAATATAGTTTACAGTCCCAGTAATTACATATTTTCTTCGTGCATACATTTATAGATTAATAGGGCAGAATCGGAATATATAAACTATATATGTAGTGTGTGTGTACATATATACATATATATATATGGAATATTTTCTCCTCCAAAAGAATAGAAAAGTTATTGGTAGTGTTACAAATAACTTGCACGTTGGAGTCATATGCAAGATTTACCAAAAAAAAAAAATTCTGGGAATTATGAAGAATAAAAATATTTTGAGATGCTCTGTTATTAGAAAATCAAATGCCAAAATGATGCTTATGAAATTTCTCTCTTCAAGTCTGTCTGAGCATAATCACCAAATATATAATTAGAATTCAGTCATTGGCTCTTGGTATTCATTGTTCAAACTGGCCAAAGAGCTACACAGAGAAAAGGGCATAATTTTATTTAATTTCAATAAGAATGTTTTTGTAGTCTTCTTTTGCCCTCACTTTTGTATGTAAATATTTATTCTTTCTCAACTCCAGCAACAGATACTACCTTTTGTTAGGCCAGTTTAATCTATCTAGAGGGAACTGCTTCCAAACAGGGACAGGTTGAGTATCTCTTAATCAAAATGCTTGGGACCTGAAAAATCCAAAATTGTGAATTTTTTTGAATTTTGGAGTATTTGCATATACATAATGAGAGATCTTGGGATGGGACCCAAGTCTAAACACAAAATTTATTTACATGTAGCCTCATGTTAATTTTAATTTTCTCTTGAAAGCACTGAATAAACTATGTGTTGTGTACCTGTGCTTTGGCTATGATACATTGCATGAGGTCAGGTGTAGAATTTTGTACTTGAGGCATCATATGGGCACCCAAAAAATTTCGAATTTGGGAGAGTTTTGGATTTCAGATTAAGGATGCTCATCCTTTGCCGGAATTCTACAGAAACTCAACCATACTTTTATTACTACCTTGGTGCAAAAGCAATTGCAATTTTTGGCAATGGCGAATACTGTAATTGTTTTTGTACTAACCTAATAACTACGGTTTTTATTATCCTCCTCCTTTGACATACAGAGAATATATTATTCTTCTGATATCATCTTCCATATGGCCCAAATATTTAGGAATTTCACATGATCATTTTTCTCAAAGCAAATGCATTTGTGGCCAAATTTTACAGTTATTACATAGCTAGCATGTTAACCTTGATATTATGTCACGTTTCAAATTTTGTTCCCTCTGATTTTAAACTGAATTGAGAAAAAAATAAACTTGGCTCTCTAGAAACGCAAAGAGTAAATGAGAAGTAATATGATATCGCACACTTAAAATATTTTAAAGCAGGCTTCTACTGTTACTGTTATTTTTTAGCACAAACCAAAAGTGACCATTTTCTTTGAATAAATAATAAAATTTTATATTTTAATAACATTGGCAAGCATTTTCTCATTTAAATATCTCAATTTTTAATGGAAAGTATTTCGTTTTATATAAGAGAAAAATATAAAAGGATCATGTGAGTTTATGAAAACGTCACAGATAGTGTATGATATGTTTTATGTTTATGTTTCATACTCCAAACCCAGTGGCTTTTGTGTTCAAAAACGACATTTGATTAGCAAGAGGAAATGGCCATTTTACTATTACTTATCTGGAATGGTAGCATATTCCAGATAAGTAAAGGAGAATCAGCCCCATCTTTAATACTGCCAACTGGATTTGTGTCATAAAGAGAAATTAGGGGACTAAAAAGGAAACATATAAGCCTTGTCTTTCCAGATTGGAGATGGATAAGTATATAAGGACTGACATACTATTGCTTTACAACAGTTTTCCCAGGACAAATTGAGACACCAGAAGCCAGCATATAGGTTGTGACTGATCTATTCAAATTGTTCCTAATAATGGCATCAGGGTTTTTTAAAAAAAAATTTTGTCATGCTTTAAGTTCTGGGATACACGTGCAAAACGTGCACGTTTGTCACCTAGGTATGCAGCTCAGTGCGCGTGCGCCATGTGGCGCGGCCCTGCGGGCTTTCCGTACTCCGCTCGCGGTAGGCTCCCGCCGCTATTCAGCTGTCGGGCTAATCAGCAGTCGAGGTGTGCGGCTAGGCGCGAGCTCTGCGGGAGCTCAGCCCCCGGGAGAGACCCGGCAGCGGCGCGGCGAGGACGGCGGCGCGGCGAGGACGGCGGCGCGGCGAGGACGGCGGCGCGGCGAGGACGGCGGCGCGGCGAGGACGGCGGCGCGGCGAGGACGGCGGCGCGGCGAGGACGGCGGCGCGGCGAGGACGGCGGCGCGGCGAGGACGGCGGCGCGGCGAGGACGGCGGCGCGGCGAGGACGGCGGCGCGGCGAGGACGGCGGCGCGGCGAGGACGGCGGCGCGGCGAGGACGGCGGCGCGGCGAGGACGGCGGCGCGGCGAGGACGGCGGCGCGGCGAGGACGGCGGCGGACCGGGGCAGCCCCGCGCCCTGGCCAGGTAAGCTGGGGAACCTCGGCTGCCTGACTCGCTGGCGGCGGCAGCCTTGGGCCGCCCGCGGCGCCGCGGGGACCCGGACGCGTGGGGGGCGGCGCGTAAGCTGCGGGCCAAGAGCTCCCGAGCGCTGCCCCCCGGACTCGGCGGGGCTGCGGGGAGGCCGCCGCTGGGATCTAGGGGTGCAGCCCGGCGGCCTTACGCCTCTCGGACCGGCCCATCCTCCTCCCACGATGGGCGGGCGGGTGCGGCGGGGACTAGGCGATGGCTTTCGCATCCCGGGAGGGGCTCACCGCGGCGAGGGGCCACTCTCGGCGCCGGCAAGTGGCGCTGTCTGGCGGGGCCGCCCGCTCGCGTCTCGCCGGGCTGGTCGGGCCGCTGGTGCGTTCCGCTGCCCGGCTTGGCGCCGGCATCAAGTCCCCGTGCCGGGCGGCAACTACTGAGTTTGGGATCGCCTCTGGGTTCACTTCCCTGGGAGAACTCGAGCCCGGATCTTCGCCCCTTCCCTTTCCCTGTATAATAAGGCCCAGAGGGAAAAACTCAAAAACCCCACACCTTGTTGCCCCTGGGCTGCAGGCGCCGGGTTGGGGGCACGGTGCGGACCTGCGCCTCTGCAGGGCCCCTTCTCCACGCCAGGCACTGCCTGGCAAGGCTGCTGGAGGGAGATCTGGCCGCAGATGGTGAAGGAGAACATCGAGGCCCCCGGTCCCCAAGCAGGGCTCCATGGGTCGGGCGGCGGGCCTTGGTAAGCCCAGGCTAGGGGCGAACTTCCTTTTCTCCGGGCCGACGCGGAGGGAGGGTGCGGGGAACGCCCGCGGAGGGGCCTGTCCTGCAGCACCCCAGTGGAGAGCAGAGCCTTAGAGGGGCCTGCTAGTCTTAACTTAGTATTTACTGGCAGAAGAAAGGCTTACTTTTTCAGATCTCTTCAGATAACGACCTGGCAGGCACCAGACGTAAATCTGTGGTTGAGTGCAGTCAGCTCCTAAACAGGCATGCGGTGGAGGAAGCGCCCCAAACTTGGCATCTTGTGTCTGGCACTTTGTTTTTGGGCTAAACTGCCTCTGGCGTCTTCAGCCTTCTGTGCCTCTTTGTTTTTGTTTGTTTTTCTATTTTCCTTCCTGTTTCAGAAAGGACAGTGGTTTTAGAAGTAATGACCTGAGAGCTTTGCAGGTTGAAGTGGGACAAGTTTTCCTAAGGTGCAGGTTGGCAGGTGCCAGGAGCCTGCCGGTGGCTTTTTCTCAGGCCTCTGGGTCAGGGTCCCTCCAGTGAGGTGAGGCAGGGGTTTCTCCCCTCCCAGAGGTGTGGCCACTACGCAGGGGGACAGGAACTGGGTTTCCCAGTCCGGGGAGTCCAGGATGCCCTGCACTCTGCGCTGATTCCTGGGTGACCGTGGGGGCTGCCTTCCCCCACAGCCTGGGCTGGAGAGGGTCTCCTGAGCTTAGGATCCGCGGGGCAGGAGGGCTGGGGTGACAAGGACACGTGGAACCTGCTGGGGCTCCGGGCAGTGTCCAGGGCGTGAGTAGATAAAGCTGGAGCTCGTAGCTGTGTGCTGGCAGCCCTCGGTGGGCTCTAGCAGTACTGGCAGGGGGGCCCTTGGAGTGGGCTCCCTCTCTGGGCTGGGACTGGGTGATGGCAGTAGCAATGGGGCACGAAGTCTTCCCTCTCATTTGTTAGGAAGTGTGGTCTGTGCTCCTCCCCACTGTCTGGCTCTTGGGCTGGGAGAAGCTGCAGGCTGAGTCCCACGGGGTGTGAGTGTGTGTGAGCAGGAGTGGGTGCTGGAAGGAGGTAAAGCTGGTGACCATCAGCTCCTCATTCTCTTGCACCTTGCATGTTTTCTCTGACACCGCAGACCCAAGTTGTGGCTTGCTGGTTAACTTGTTTACATAACCTTCTTAAGTAACTCTAAACTTTAAAAAAAAAAATGTTTTACAGGAATAATCGGTGGAGATGGATTGTGAAATGGAGGTGCATAAATATCCAGTTTGCCAACCGAGCTAAGAAATGCTGGATAAAAGTAAAAGGTAATTGTAAAAGACACTGATCACACCCCTGGAAGCTTAGAGATGGGATAAGACACTTTGATTTTTCCTAGACAAAACTGAGGAAGTCAGAGGAAAAACAGTTGATGGTGAGATTGGCATCAGGCTGGGCTTTGTTTGGATTGGGCCGCGGTGGCTGCAGTGAGGGCTGTTGGAGTGGGGAGAGTGGGGGTTGAGCCTGGCTGCAGAGGCCCCCTCCAGGCCTCAGCTCCTCTCCGGCACTCCTCCGTGTCCTCTGCCATGCATACCTGCCCCGGTGACTTAATAGGTGAGGGCCTCAGGTGACACCGTCGTCTGAAGTCTTGGAGAAACCTTTACTGTCCAGGGGAGGAGAGGACTGGCGGTCGGTGGGGATCGAGGCCCAGCACACATCACTGGGTGGCTTGAATGTCTTCGGCAGAGATCACATGCCCTGCCTTGCAGCCTGGTCCTTAGAGAAACGGAGAGAGCTCTGGGCCTGGGCAGCGGCCCTGGCTGTACCACTCACAGGCTGTGTGTCCTCAACGCAGTCTCAGTTCCTCACCCTTGCCAGGTGGCCGTGAGCACTGGGGACGTGGAGGCACAGGTAGGGTGTAAGGTAGTCCCTGGTGACCAGGCAGGCCTCCCAGATGTAGGTCAGGTTTGAGACGCTTGCTCACCAGGAGGCAGCCTGTGTGCCCATCGGGGGCTGGGGGTGCTCATTGTTCCCTTGGGTGGTGGTTGGCCCGAGCGCCCACAGGGAGACTTCTCTGGCTCCTTCCTTTCCCAGAGTTCCTCCCCACCCCCCTGCTGCCCACCGCCTGGGTTGGGTCCAGCTCATGTCTCAGAGCAGCCTGCTGGCACAGGCTGAGTCAGCTGTCATGGGCACTGTCGTTTCTCGCCTCTCCTGAAGCCAATCCTCCCCTCTCTCCCTGTCCAGACACACAAGGGAGGCCCGGGAGTTAGGTGACCTCAAGATCATGCAGCCAGGCTCTCTATGTGGAACCCTGCGTACTGGTGGGGTGCCATTGCTGTGTGCTTTATGATTTCTGTGCCGGCTGTGAGGTTTCCCAGGTTGGGCTGTGGGGTACCCCTGAGTCTGCAAGTTGGCCCAGGCCAGGTGTGTCACCATTGCCCAGGCCTTCAGTGGCTTTCCAGTGCTCCCTCCACATCCATGTGTCTCGGCCTGATTTTTCTCAAGTTCCCCCGCTCGCTCCCAAGAATGGCCCCTCCAGGCTCTCCTGGCTCCAGGCAGACAGGCTCATTGCCCAGATCTGCCCTGGGTTGTCCCCACCCCATCCCCACCTGTCATCTTGGCCCATGTCCATCCCGGAGATCCTAACTGAATGTAGGCTCTTTCATCTTATCCCTTGGTCCTCGGATTTGCCAGGCCACTCTTGCCTCCAGGCCTTTGCACCTGCTGTTCCCACCCCCTTGGCATCAGCCACCCCCAGATGCCCACCTGGCCGGCCCCTCACTTATTGCCGGCTCCCTGACAGCCCTACATAAATTAGCGTTACTTCCCCTTCTCTTGTTAACCTTGCTTTGTGTTTCTCCTTAGTACTCAACATTCAGTGTGTTATTTATATACTTGTTTGTTTATTGTCAGTCTCTTACCACTCAATTGTAAAAGACTTTGTTCACCTCTGGATCCCCAGTAGCTAGAAAAGTGCCTGGCACACAGCAGAGCCTTAGTGCTGTTGTTGGATGAGTGAGTGAATGAAACACGGGAGCAGTAGTCTCCTTGCAGCACATGTCCTGCTGCCTGTGCCTCCTTTTCCCGAGTCCCAGAGCTGGAACCTAGCTGTGTTCACATTTGGATCCTCCTGGAATGTAGCACAGACCCTCATTCAGTGGGCAGTCAAGAAAGAGCTTCAGAGTTGTACAGTGCAACGTCGGTTTCACATAGGCCAGAGGAGAACGTGTTTGGGAAGGTAACCAGCCCAAAGAATGAGCTTTCTTACTGTGCACTGAGATTCCTTTTTGGATTTTCAGTTGTTTGGGTTCTCTGCACCCGGGTGGTCCCTGCTGCCAAAGTCAGCGCTGCGTCTCCCTGCAGTCACCTCGGATGTGGATGCACTTTGGAAGGAGGCACCCCCACGCCCAGATTCCCTTCCCGCTCCATCTGGATCTTTCCAAACTTGTCCTGTACCTAATGTCAGACTCTGTCCCAGGGCTCTCAGCCACTCTGCTTTCCCTTCCAGAAGCCTCCTCCTGCCTGACTCTCTCCTGCGTGTGTCCTGGCCTGGTTGGAGAAGATGCTTTGGTTTTATGAGAAAGGGACTGGGAGGTCAGAAAAGAGGATGGGATTTGGAGTAACAGGAGCTCAGTTCCAGCCTGGCCCTGCCACTAATCCCTGGGGCCCAGGACCAGTCTTCTGGCTTGAGAGTCTTTCTCAGCATCTGCAATACCCGCGTGAGGCCTCTTGCCTGTGGTTGTTTTGAGGCACAGACGAGATGCAATATTGAACTGATGCGAGATATTTTATGACAGCAAGAGCTCCATGGTGTGGCTTCTCTTATTGTCCTGGGAGTTTTAAGGGTCAGGTTTGTGAGTTACAGCTACGGCCTAGTGAGAGAATGCAGAGGCGGCCTGTCATAAACTCTAAACTCTAAAGGGCTGTTTTAATGTAAGGTGGTGCATCTGTTGTTTTGTGTTTCAAGGATCAAAATTAAGAGAAAAAATACGTGGTTGAGGTACCTGCGTTGAGTGACTGTGAAAATATTTTCATCTCTAGTTGTCTGGAAACGGAAACACTCCAACATTTAAAGATGGTTTTGATGGCGAAACCACTGGAATGAAACACACATCATCGGGCAATTCTGTGTGTTGAGTTCCATCCCTCTTTGTTTATCATTTTAAATAATTTCCCGACAAATCTAGAAGGCAGGTCTTGTCTTAACTTTGCAACGAGGAGGCTGGGGACAGGTAGCTGAGCTGTGGGTTGCCTAAGAGCACTCGGCTGTGATGGGGCAGTGCTGGCCTTTGAGTCTGAGCTGGAGAGAGTGTGAGGTCCGTGTTCTGTCCCTGTCTCCTGCTGGGGCCCATTTTGTATCAGATTTGTTTTTAACAGGGTGGGCATGACTAGGACTCATGACCACTGGTGGGCACGTAAAGGTGCTAATTTTCAACACAAGCCGAGAGACTGATGGCTGGCATCGGAGAGTCGTGGAAATGCCACAGATGACGTGGGCCCTATACAGCGATGGGAAAAGGGTCTGGGAGCTAGCCCTCCAGGAAGGTGGCTGACGTGGTTGGTGGGACACTAAGGTGTTTTCCATTTTGCACTTGAAGCCAACATGGATTCTTAGCACTTCTTGTCCCTAGAATCAACTGTGCAGAGAGACGTTTGGTCGTGAAACTCTCAGGCAAAGACAGTTCTGAGGAAACTCTTATTAGTAAATAGTGAGTCGGAGAACACTATTGACATTTAGGATTTTCAGTTGAGATACATATGTACTGTCATGCATCACATGACATTGTTTTGGTGAATGATAGCATATATGACAGAGGTCCCATAAGAATATCATGGGGCTCAAAAATTCCTATTGCCTAGTGACATTGTGGTAAAGTTGTAGTGCAGTTACTTTATTTTAAAAAAATATATAAAATATTTAAAAAATAAAAATATATTTTTTTAAAATGTAGCCTAGGTATACAATGTCTATAAAGTCTGCACTAGTGTACGGACTGACTCACCCGAGCAACTTCCATTCATGGAAGGTCCATTCATGGAAAGTGCCCTAGACAGGGGCACCATGTTTTATCTTTTATAGCATATTTTAACGTTGTGCCTTTTCTATGTTTAGATACACACATTCAGCACAGTAACATGCTGCCTAGCTTTGCAGCCTAGGAGCAGTAGACTGTACCCTATAACCTAGTGTGTTGTAGTAGGTTTGTATAACGTATGTTCTATGATGTTCTCACAATGATGAAATTGCCTAATGATAAATTTCTCAGAATACATCCCTGTCGTTAAGTGACGCATGAGTGTGTGTGTGATATATATATACATATATATGCCTGTCGTTAAGTGACACGAGTGTGTGTGTGTGAGATATATATATATATATATATATATATATATATATGTATATATATATATATATATAATTTTTTTTCATTTGGTTGGTTTGGCATTCCTGGAATTGATTCTCCAGCAAGGCAGCTCTAAATATGAATTCCTCTGAACTGTTGTATCTGTTCTTAATTTAATAAACAAGTATCGTTTATGGTTTCCCGCAGTTGGTTTGATTATCAACTGTCTTGGAAAAATCCATTGTTTCAAAAATAGTAAAGCCACTAGTTGAGTAACCGCATGCATTTAGGGATGATGGATTTCTCAGGTCTCTCTGGAAGCAAGTGTGTGCATTGTACAATTAAAACACAGTTTCTGTTTCTCAGTCTTTTGGTGTAATAAGTGAGCCATGTGCTCTAGCATCTGTCTGAATTATCCGGAGCTGGTGGCAGCTGTCACGGGTGTGGTGCAGTGGGGCCAGGCGTGTGTTAGGAACTGGAAGCTCTGGGAAGCCAGGCTCTGCCTCCACGTGTGAGCCAGCTGTAGAGCGTCACTGCTCAGAGTTTGTCTTGACTCATCCCGAGAAGGGCACGTGGAGGTCTGTGTCCCATTCCTCACCAGCCACTGAGTTACTATGGATGGAGGAGATGAGATGTGTGCAACTGTTCTGCTACAGTAAAGCACGCAGTCAGTGCAGTCACCAGGGTTAGGATGTGTGAGTGTTTTACCAACCTGCCTGCTGGGTTTCAGACACCTGGCACTACCTCCAGCCTCTAACTGATTCTGGCTAGTACGCGTGAAAGCTGTCAGCTGAGTGATGAGTGGGCCGATTTTGGCCACAGGTCCCTGCACTTCCCACCTGGCCTGACTGCTAGATTCTGAGCCCCTGAGGCAGGACTGAGTGGGTCAGATTGATGGCTGATTGTCTCGGGAATGGCATTGGGTGAAGTCGAGATTTTCCTGACCCACAGCTCCTACTAGAAGTGCCTTTGTTTTGTGCATGTATTGTGAAGATTCTGCCTGTGAACTTTCTCTACCCTTTGAGTCCTAAGGTTCAGGTACCTGGAGAGGAGCGTGTCATCGTTTTGCAGGTGGGATGTGCGGTTGTTGGGGAAGACGTCTTTGTGCTGTGTTGGGTTGGAAGCTTTGAGAGCAGAAGCCCCTCCAGACCAAGAACTCCTGATTGTGTCTTTCCCTTGAGCTTTCACAGATTTCAGCTTCTAAATTAACTGCATTTTATTAAGTAATGGTTTTCTTCTTGATCACAGGCGTGCCTGTGCTTAATCAGCACTGAGGACTGGTGCTACTTCAGTTGATTTGATACACCTAGAGGCAGCCTCATCTCCAACTTGTCTTGGTTTCATTTGGGGAGCTGCCGTGGGGGACCCCTGGACTGGCAGCATTCCCACTCCTCACTTTGGCAACCCCGGCCTAACTCCTTGTATGTGTTGCTCCTTTTATCTGTCACATAGGGTGGCTTAATCTAATAGTGGAAACAAAGGGGTGCGGGACACTAACCTGGTAGGTCTCACCTTGCCCGTCATTCACCTCTCAGTCCTTTGACACTCAAGGACTCTGCAGTGGTACAACCGGGAGCAGGTACCCTTCACTTTTCTTACCCCCGAGTCCCTTTGCCTGGAGCACTGTCCATCTATCCAGCCGTGTACTCAGTAGGTATTTTCTGAGAAGCTACTATATTCCAGCTTTCTTGTTCCCAGTTTAGAGCTGGGTGGGATCAGGAGGAAGGGCATGGAAGGGGTTGCTGGAGAATGTGCAGTGGCATCAGAGCCCCATTCTGGCTCTGGGTCCAAGGCCCTCCTAGAGAGGCACAGTCTGGAAGATGTGAGAGCCCCACGGTAGGTTGGGGTGGATCATGGACCCCATCCTAGAAGAGTGGGTGGGTTTGCCCGTTCAGAGCCCAGGCCAGAAGAGCCCTCTCGGCAGAAGGGCCAGCCTGGAGTGTGGCACCCTGGGCATAGGGAGGGCCAAGTTTTTGGCAGCAGGATTATGTAGTTTGTGTAGGTCAGAGCTGGAGATGGGGGTTGGGGGGCAGTTCCTGACCATTAGGGGCTTGGTAGCCCTGGAGAGCCCTTGCTGTGGGTTGGGAGCAAAGTAGGTGGGCCAATAACAACACATATTTTACCAAGTGAATTCTAGGAGAGTGATTTCTGCAGCTGGCTTCCCTAGTGGACAGTTCAGAGCATGGGAGGAAGACGCGGTCAGGGGCGTGTTGAGAGGTGCATCCAGAGGCGAGAGGAGGGTGTGGGGAGGTATGAGCAGAAGATGTGACATGGGGTGGGGAGGGGTGCAGTGAGGACGCAGGAGGGTGGCGGGGGCAGGTGTCTGGCCGAGGCACTGCCAGCATCACGGGGAGGCTCTGGAGCCCACTCCCCACTGGGTTCTGTAGGAGGTGGCAGCTGATGCCAAGTCCCAGCCTTGCTAGTGCAGACGTTTTATTTTACCCTTCTTTTTTTTTTTTTTTTTTTTTAACAAGGATTTACAGGATTTGTAGATTAAATTGCCCCTGTTCTCCAAGAAGCAGCGGGAACAGCAGCGCTGCAGGGTGATGGGCTGCAGAGGCCTCTGCAGCAGGGTGGGGTCTGGGGAGACATTCGGGTGCCTCCTGTCCACGGCCTCGATAGGCCAGGGCGCCTGCAGCTTGGGCCCTCTTCCCCTTTCAGGTGGAGGGAGCTGTTCATCCTCTGGGGGCTGCTGGGCAAGAAACATTTCTTACGTGATAATGTGAAGCGTCAGAGGTCCCTGTTTGATAGGTAAGTTGCTGTATGTTTTGGAGCTGCAGGCAGTCTGTTTTTCTCACTAGCATGGTGTGGAGGTGGGGGACAGTATTCCCTCCCGTGAGGCCCACGTCCGCTTCATTATCCCTGTCTGCTGGGACTGCGCTGGATGCTGGCTGAGGCTGCCTTTGTTACTTCCATGCGCTGTAACTGGAAAGGCCTGCTGCTTGTTAGGCTCCTTAGAAATGTGATTTGAAGGCTGGGCACGGTGGTTCATGCTGTAATCCCAGCACTTTGTGAGGCTGAGGAGGGAGGATCGCTTAAGCCCAGGAGTTTGAGATCAGCCTGGGCAACACAGGGAGACCTCACCTCTACAAAAAAATAGAAAAATTAGCCAGATGTGGTGGCTCACGGGTGTGGTCCTAGCTACTTGGGAGGCTGAGGTGGGAGGATCGCTTAAGCCCAGGAGGTTGAGGCTGCAGTGAGTTGTGAGGGTGTCACTGCCCTCCCCTGGGTGACAGAGTGAGAACTTCTCTCTCTCAAAAAAAAAAAAAGAAGTCTGATTTGAAGGAGAGAAAGCTCCATTTGATGTGGGGGTTGGGAGTGGAGAGCACCTCTGCGATTAGACCTTTGTATCATCTTGATGATTTTAATCAGACATCTAATATTATGCTGTAGTTCATGTCAACTGATTTCCCAAACCTGAATTTCAGAGACTTCCCATGACACATCGGGCAGTGGGAGTGGGGATGGTGAGAGACTGTTAGTTATTCCAGGAAGAGAGGCCTTTTCTGATTGTCCTGCTCACCAGCACACTGAGGGGCTGGGCCGGTGACCTGATGGGCTGGGGAGTAGAGCCCTGGCTTATTTATGTGCACTTGTTTCTTTTGAACATGTCTTGTTTTGCTGGTGATTTGGCAAATAGGTTGAAACCAAGCCCTCCCCCAGTTCCTCAACCGCCTAGGACTCCACAGGTGCCTGGGAGTCCGATGGCTGGCAGGCTGCCTTTTGAAGCTTGGCCTAGTGTCCCACAGCTGTTGGTTGTCCTAGGAATCCAAGGAAAAGCTGCTGAATTCTGCGGCCCCAGGAGGATCTTTGTCCTCCTTTTGCAGAGCAGTAGGTGGATTTGCTCTGTTGAGCTGGAAGGAAGAATTTTTAGATTTCCTCTGGCTGAAGAAGTTAAAATGGAACCATCTACATCAAATCCCCACAATTGGACTTTAAAGCAAGTTTTCAGAAAAAACGGACTCGATTATTTTCTATGTGTGGAAGCAAATTCCTTGGGAACTTCTGGTGAATTTTTTTTTTTTTTTTTTTTTTGTGACGGAGTCTCACTCTGTCACCCAGGCTGGAGTGCAGTGGCACAATCTCGGCTTACTGTAAGCTCCACCTCCTGGGTTCACGCCATTCTCCTTCCTCAGCTTCCCGAGTAGCTGGGACTACAGGCGCCCGCCACCACTCCCGGCTAACTTTTGTATTTTTAGTACAGACGAGGTTTCACCGTGTTAGCCAGGATGGTCTTGATCTCCTGATCTCGTGATCTGCCTGCTTCAGCCTCCCAAAGTGCTGCAATTACAGGCGTGAGCCACCGTGCCCGGCCTAACTTCTGGTGAATTTTAAAGTGCTTGTCTATTTTGTTTTATTCTCCAATACTGAGAAGTCTTTAACAACTAGAGGCTGCTTGGGTAGGTCAAGGTCTGAGGGGCAGTGCTCCCCACCAGAGCTAATCATTAAATAGATCTGCCATCTGTAGTTTTTGTTTTGCGTTTTGAGATGGAGGTGTTGCTATGTTGTCTCTAGGCTGGACTTGAACTCCTGGGCTCAGGCAATCCTCCTGCCTCGGTCTCCTGAGTAGCTGGGACTACAGGTACATGCCACTGTACCTGGCTTGATGTCTCTGTTTTAAAAAAATTTTGCCTTCTCGCAATTATCTTGTATCTCTGGAGAAGAAAGGTGCCATTTTTCTGGCAGTGGAATTTGGAGTTGAGAAGGACCCTGGCTCCATCAACGGGGGTGGCGCCTAACATATGATAGAGCTATATAACATAGATCTTGAGATCCTTTAAATATCTGTTTCTGATTATGAAATTCAAATGTACTAATTATAAAGATTAGAACTTTACAGAAATGCATCATGTAGAATAGAAAATGAAAGCTTCCCCCTAACTTCACCACTGCCCCATTCAGTGCCCACAAAGATAATCATTGTTCACAGTTTGGTGGCGATTCCTCCCGTTTTCTTTTTCTGTCTGTGGACGTATTTTACTTGTCTTTTAAATACATACATATTTTAAAAGTATTTTTCAACAAAGTGGGATCCTACTGTAAATAAGATTTGCAGTTCGATCCGCTCACCAGCTGTGTGTCTTAGAGATGGTCCCTTGTCCTTTGCGCAAGCAGCGTTATTCTGACGCTTGCATAATATGTGACTGTTTATTTATTGAACTTTTGGGTTGTTCCGTTTTTCACACTCACGGAGAATGCTGACAGGTGGAGTCTCGTACATTAAACCCTTGCATCTGCATGGGGTTGTTTTCGTAGCATAGATTCCTAGAAGTGGACTTGCGGGGCTGAATGGTTTGGGCATTCAGAGTGTCAACAGATATTGCCAGATTGCTCTCTTGACAGGTGGTGACCATTCTAAATGATGCTAGTGTGTGGGGCAGCGGTGTCCCCACTGACACTCTCTGGACATCGACACTCTCTGGACATCGACGCTCTCTGGACATGATCAGTCTTTGTGTTTCATTCAGTCAAGTGGGTGTAAAGTGATAGCTTATTTCATTTTGTGTTTGTAAAAATTGTGAATTATAAGAAGCTGTTTCTTCTGTGCTTACTACTAATTTGAATTTCTCTTTCTAATTCTCTTTTTCATCCTTGCCTGTTTTTCTCTTGATTTGTGAAGCTTTTCCTTGTTGATTTCTAGGTGTTCTTGGTACACAGGGTTATTCCTCATTTTCTATATATATTGCGGATATTTTCTCTCAGATGCCACTTGTCCTTTGAATTTGTTTAAAGACATCTCTGGCAATGTAAAAATTTGGAAATTTTACATTGTTAAAACTATCAAGCTTGCTTTAATTACTCCTGAATTTTGTATCTTACTTAGAGAATGGGTTTCTGTACCCTAATGTATATAACCACCCTCCTGCATATTCTGCTAATACTTGATAGTCTCGATTTTTTTACATTTACATCTCTTCTTTGATCTAAAATGTATTTTAGATACGGTGTGATTTGTGGATGTAGTTTTTTTTTTTTTATAGGATTCCAACCTAATTTCCTAGTCAGCCACTTTGACCTCTCTGTTTTGGCAGGTTTGTCATGGGTTAAGTAGCTGCTGTGTTCTGAGTGTTTCTCCTGTGTTTCTGGATTCTCCATTCTAATTTACTGCTTTATTGTTGTGCCACTATCTACCGTGTAAGTTACGGTGGCTTTTGGTAAGACTTAGTTATCTTAAAGGGCCATTACCTCTTCATTCCTCTTCTTTTTTCATTCTCCGCCAACCTTTCTCCTATATTCCTTTGAATAGATAAGCCTTATTTTATTTATTTTATTTATTTTTTGAGACTGTCTTACTTTGTCACCCAGGCTGGATTGCAGCGGTGCGAACACGGCTCATTGCAGCCTTGACTTCCTGGTCTCAAGTGATCCTCCCACCTCAGCCTCCCAAGTAGCGGGGTCCACCACGCCTGGCTAATTTTTGTGTTTTTTGTAGAGGTGGGGTTTTTCCAAGTTTCCCAGGCTGGTCTTGAACTGCTGAGCTTAAGTGATCCTCTTGCCTTGGCCTCCCAAAGTTCTGGGATTACAGGCATGAGCCACCCTACCCGGCCGCTAGATAAACTTTAGAATAAACTAAATTCATCCCATATTCTGATTGGGATTTTGATTAAGGTTGCTCTGTGGGTTTTATGGTGGGGGTTGGGGGTGGGGAGAGGAGAGAGCTTTTGTATTTTCTTCTCATCCAGATTTTGATTTATGTAAAAAGTCCTTTGCCTCCATCACTGGAGCTTCATTGCTTTATTCATGCATGTTTGTGCGTCTCTCACTTCTGCTGCTGTTGTCACTGGGATCATCCCCTCCTCTTGCCTTGTTTTCTAGCTGATCATGGCTGGTCTGTAGAAAAGTTGTTGCCTTTTAAATTTGTGGACTGCCTGCCCACCTTGCTTCAGTCTCTCTGGTGATGTAAATGGTTTGTCATTCTTCCTCTCGTATTTTTTTATTGGAGAATCATTTGCCATCGTCGACCTTTCTTTTTTGTTATTTATGCCTTTTGTTATGGGGTCCATCGTGGAGGGGTGTTTGATACTAGTCCACTCTGCGATCCCTGGGGCCCTCCTCAGGAGGGCCTTTCTGCTTCATGGTCAGTGGGTTGGCTCTTTGACTGGGGGTCCCTGTAGCTCAGCAGTCCCCAGGGCAGCCGCTGTGTCACAGAGTGGAAGCAGGCCGGTGGACAGTTTAAGTGAGTTTTTTTCCCTGTGTGGCTGGGCAAGCTGGAGGAGAGGGGTCTTAGGGAGTGGTTTCTCCAGGCAAGGGCAGTGGTCTGGCGGGGGCTGTCACATGGGTACTCACCCATGGGGGCCTTAGAGGATGTGGCTTTCTCTGCTGCTTGGCCTCAGGCAGGGGGCTCAGAGGGTCTCCTCAGGTGCTATCAGTGGCTGTGGTGGTGGCAATGTCTGGGACCCATGCCAGCAAGCTGGCAGCCGCTGGTAGCCTCAGCTGCTTCCTCCAAACGTGAGGACCCCCAGGCAGTGGTGGTGGCCCCCTGGGTGCACAGGCAGATGAGGGGGTAGGGAGAAGAGGGTAGGGCACAGCCCTGGTTCTCAAAGCAGGTGGTGGGGCCAGCATGTGTGACTCAGTGGCCAAAGGGTCCATGGAGGTGGACCAAACTGGTTGAGGGGAGCCCCCACCCTGACTGTGCCAGGAGGTGCTGCCCGTGCCACCAAATTTCCACTGGGACCCATGGCCCCAGGGGAGGCCCTGGAGTCTGTGAAGCTCAGGGTCATCCTCAGTTGTTCCCTGTCATTTATGTTCTAGCGTTGACCTTGCAGTGTCCGCCCTGCAGGAGCTGCCAGTTGCTGTGAGTTCCTCGTGCTTCCTTGTGACAAGTGGTAGGGAGTGGCTACTGCTAGGTTAGATTTTGTTATTTTGCACATCATAGACTTTTTACACTAGTTTCCATCATTTTCATTTAGTCTTTGTTCAGGGTGTTAACAGCTATCAATACCAGCTAACAATGTGTTTATGGTGATGGGCATCATTTTCTCATCTTATGAGATAAAGCAGCCAACCTAGTGCCTTTTGCATGAAGGTACTGATGCTCGGGGCTTGGGACTGATGGGTGGGTGTTGCCAGGAATTCAGCCTCTTCCAACAGGAGCTGCAGGGTGGCGTGATGTGGCCCCATGTTGCCCTGTGGTGGTAGGGCAGGGGAGTGGCGCCCAGAGGCATGGGGGTGGTCAGCTTTCCAGGAAGGTGATCCAGGCCCAGGAAGGTTCGAAGTGTGATGGAGGGGAGAGGGAGAGGAGAGGGAGCCTACCGGGAGGCGTGGGTCCAAGGCCTGGGTGTTTGTTAGTTTGTCGTCTTCCCATCTGCTAGGCATCCGTTCTCTGTTGCGGTCCCCAAATGCCCCATTTCTGGCTTCATTCAGACGCAGTTCCTCTGCTCAGTGGAAGTGGAAGAGGTGGAACAGTTGTCTGTGCTGTCTTCAGAGCCGGTGGAGGCGGAGCTCGGCCAGCGTGTCACAGCCTAGTGGAAGAGCAACTAGCAAGAGAACCCGCTCTTCCCTGTGGCTCCTAGACACCTTGGTTGGAGGGTTGGCCAGGAGCAGGAGCAGGAAGAGCACTGTGGACAGAGCTGGCTCCTGGGACATGGGAGGCCTGTAGAATGCCTGCAGAATCAGCATGAGAGAGAGAGAGCGAGAGCGAGAGAGAGCGCACAAGCGCACGAGCGCGAGCGTACACAAGGCCAAGTAGCAGGCATGGCAGAGGGGAGATTCCAACCCCCTTCTGACTCTGGGGCCTATGAACTTAACCATCCAGTGGCAGGGCCTCTCAGCTGGAAATCAGTCACATGCTTCCCAGAAGGTATTTTTATGAGTCAATATACTTGACTTTGGGAATTGGCTATAAAGAGAAAATTTACTACGGGATTAAAGAAGTGTGTACTGGATTAATCTGGCAACCTCTTTTCTTTTTGAGACGGGATCTCACTATGTTGCTCAGACTGGAGTGCAGTGGTGTGATCTTGGCTCACTGCAGCCTTGACCACTTGAGCTCAAGTGATCCTCTCACCTCAGCCTCCAGAGTAGCTGGGATCACAGGCACGTGCCTCCATATCCAGCTGACTTATAAATGTTTCCTAGAGATGGGGTTTCACCATGTTGCCCAGGCTGATCTCGAACTCCTCTGCCTCCCAAAGTTGGCAACTTCTGAATGTGCTGCTCAGAGCTGCCTGTTTGCCAATGAACCAGGAATATGTTTTATACGTGAGGTTAATTTCATGTAGATAGAACACTGCTACAGGAGGCGGGGTGGGGTGATGTCAGAGAGCACTGGACAGATAATGAAGACGTCCCCTCGTCGCAGTCAAGCTGACCTCTTTTGGGGCTGTCGCCAGCTCAGTGGTGTCCACCTGCTGTCTGCAGTCTGAGAATCGGGGTGTCCTAAGCTCTCTCCAGCTCTGAAATCTTTAACTGTCTACTGGGTGTATTTGTCTGGAACCTTGCCTCCTGTCTCTGTGGTTCTGCATGTTGCCGGGTGTTTCTCAGGGACACCTGACTTTCCTGAGGGTCCCCAGCCCTGGTGGGAGAAGAGGTTGTGTGACGTCTGACACCCGGGAATTGGTGGGTCTCCATTATCTGAGGAGGGTGTACTTCCCAGGTTAGCTGGGCATGAGTTGAGTTTCAGTCGTATCCTTCCTTCCAGTTTGGGATGGGTTCTGAAATTTGTATTGCGAGTGATGAAAAAGGGGTAAGTGGCTTTTCATCTCAGTGGGGTTAGCTTTGTCGTGGACCCCTGAGCTGAGAGATGGCATGATTAGAAGTCCAGTGCCTCAACCCATGCAGTCTTCTTGAGGACTTACTTGTATCATTGTGTGTTGCTTGAAAACGAGTAATCTGTACGTTAACTTTTAGGATTCTTGGTGTGGGTGGGTTTAATATCAGCCCGTGTGCGTCATTTCCTGGGTATCACTGAGGAATGGCTCTTTGATTTTCAATTTTAAACCCTTATCTTGCCACAGTCAGTCTTTTATACAGAGCAGAGTGCTGGAGATGGGCTGCAATGACAGTGTTCCTAATGGGATGGGTTTTATTTCGAGTGAGTGGACTGTGACAACTTTTGGGTACCTTCATGTGACTCTTCTCACAATAGCCGATTTTCTTGTCGTTTAATGGAAAATTAGTAGCTGAAGCCTGTTTCACGTCTCTGCCCCCGTGGTGGCCTGGGCAGACCCTGGCTCATCTCCCAGAGCAAATGTCAGACAGGCCAGCCACAGCCCAAGGAAGTGGGGGCAAAGGGGGCGCCCCAGTGTGATCTCGAGGGCCCATGTGGTTTTGTATGGAGGGCAGAGTTGTTGTGCTGTTGGCTTTTCAGCAGGAGCCAGGCAGAGCAGCTGTCCGTGGGCTGCCCTGTTGGCCAGGGATGTTGACCAGGATGTGGAAGGAATCAGGCGGTTGCCCCCGGCGGGATGGTCATTGCGGTGTCTCTGCACCTAAGTGATTTGTTTTCACAGACATCAATGCTCAGTATTGATCAACCTCAGGATCATCAATGCTTGGAAAGGGTAGAGCTTGTGTCCCATCAGAGATGTGACTCCGAATCTGTGGGTACTCTCCCCAGGCTGACTCATAAAATGAATGGGCACCTGAGCCACTCCGTGTGATGCTGAAAACCGGGAGCACTCGGGTGACGCTTTCAGCCATGAAGTCTGCCTTTCCTCAGGGGAGTGGCCGCCGATGGTGTGTTTTCTATTTGAAGCAACTCTAAAGGGTCCCACCCAAGTTTCAGAAAGAAACTCAGGTTCTTGACATATGCAGGGGGAACCCTTTCATTTCTAAAATCTGTTAAAAATTTTACTATTGCTGAAAATATCCTCTTACGCATTTGCAGTGACACCTCCATCCTCACTGCAGTGACCCGTGAGTGCAGGCCTGTGCCCGTGACCTGGCTGGACCCTGGGGTTTTCCTGCGCCGCTGGCCCTGAGCTGCTTGTGCTGTCAACAGGGCAGCCCTCCGGGTCTGGATAAGAGGTTCTGCGTGCTCCTTACAGTTCAAAGCAGGCTTGGGCCATCTTCCCTGCCTGCTGCCTTGTCCTCCAGTAGTAAATCACGCCCCTGTCACTCCCTGATGAAGCCACTCCACTGAGATTGTTGATTTTACACTGAGGCTTCTCTTTGTGATACCCCAGGCTCGTGGTTACCCGATGGAGGAAAACTTCTGGGAGAATCGGCTGGTGAGATGCCTGACACCGCTCTCCTGGCATCTGACATCAAGGATATCTTAATTTTCTTAGTTTTTAAAAATTATGGTAAATACACAAAAGATGAAATTTACCATCTGAAATACTTCTACGTGTATGATTCTGTGGCATTAAATACACTCACAGTGTTGTGCAGCCATCACCACCATCCATCTCCAGAACTTTCTTCATCTTGCAATCTGAAACTCTGTGTCCGCTAACTCCCCTTTCCGCCTCCCCCAGCCCCTGGCAGCCACCATTCTACTTTCTGTCTCTGAATTTGACGACTCCAGGTGCCACATGTGAGTGAAATCATACAATCATTTGTCTTTTTCCAACTGGCTTCTTTGACTTAGCGTGACGTTCTCAAGGCCCACCTGTGTTGTAGCGTGCGTCAGAACTTCCTTCCTTCTTAGGGCTAACTACTGTCCCCATTGTATGGGTAGGCCACACTTTGTTTGCCGTTCATCCCTCAGACATCAAGAATATCTCACATAGTAGAAAGAGTCAAAGAATCCAATGAGGGCTTCATCTTGGCCACTCATGCTCTCTGTAGCTCCACCCTCTGCAAGGGCTGGGTGGACAGCCCGAAGCTACCTGCTTATCCTGCATTGAGCAGACGGGCCTGGTGCCGGGCGCAGAGGATGCAAACTGGAGCAGGAGCCAGTTCCTGCCCTCAAAGTGCACAGCAACATGCACTCCAGCCTGGGCAACAAGAGAGAAACTCCGTCTCAGAAAAAAAAGAAAGAAAGAAAGAAAGAAAGAAACGGGAGCTGGGGAGAGGGGGCCTGGAGACGGGAGTCCCACATGGCCCTGCCCTCCGTACCTGGCTGAGCAACGCTTTCCAGTTCTTTTCCAGGGTTGTGGATGAGGCCCCACTGCCTGCGAAGAGAGGCCCTGATAAACCATCTGTTGCTTTGTTAAAGAGGGGACACCTTATCAATGATTCACGTTTCCTTCATTTTAAGCATGAAGAAATTAATCCAAGGGCCGGGCGCGGTGGCTCAAGCCTGTATTCCCAGCACTTTGGGAGGCCGAGGCGGGTGGATCACCTGAGGTCAGGAGTTCGAGACCAGCCTGGCCAACATGGGGAAACCCTGTCTCTACAAAAATACAAAAATTAGCCAGGCGTGGTGGCGGACGCCTGTAATCCCTGCTACTAGGGAGGCTGAGGCCACAGAATTGCTTGAACCTGGGAGGCGGAGGTTGCAGTGAGCCAAGATCACACCATTGCACTCCAGCCTGGGCGACAAGAGTGAGACTCCGTCTCAAAAAAAAAAAAAAAAAGAGAAATGGATCTAAGAGGCTGACCTGGCAGCTGGAAATTCTTCCTCCCCACAGCACCTGTTGGGAACTGGGGCTAAACTCAACCGCCTTCTCCGTAGCCCCTGCCACCCACCCGGCTCTCACCTGAACCATGGGCACAGGCCGTCCTGCTCCCGGTTTTCCAGCCCCTTAATTCATCCCTCAAGGCCACAAGGAAGCAAGGAAGACGTTTCTTAACCACAAATGTGCCATGTGTTTGTGCCAAGCCCTGTCTTGGCTCCCGTCACCTACAGGGTGGAGTCCAGACTCCGTGGCATGACACAGGAAGTCCTCCCACATCTGGTCTCTGCCCACCTCTCTGCCTTCTTCCTATAATTTAGCCTTGCCAGCTCAAAGCTGGCCCCAAAGACCTCACACCCTTTTCCTTGGAACTTCTCATCTCTCCCTACACACTTGCAAAAGTACCTGCAGAAAAAATCTTGTAAAACAATCAAGACCATAACATTCACATACCTTCTATTTGGTCAGTGCAGAGACACAGATCTTTGTTCCGAAATTTGCATTTAAATGGAAAGCTTCAGAGCCTGAAAACATCTAAAATTATACCCAGGACTGACAACTGGCCTAGACTCAATGTCTTTGGAATTTGCTCTACTAAATTTGCTACCGTTTGAATGTGTTCCCTCCAAAACTCAGCTGTTTCTAATGTGAATATGATGCAAAAAGTGAAAACCTTATACATCTTTACAGCAGCCTAGAAGTAAAGATGAAGCAATCCTTTTTTTTTTTTTTTTTAAAGAATCTACAGTTACTACAACTAACTGAAAAAGTGGGAAATCTGGAGACCAACACATAGAAGAAGAAAAATGGCAGTCAAAGACTCACTCTCCAAATTGGACATTTATTTAAACCAGGGTTTCTCAGCCTCAGCGATGTGTATATACTGGGCCAGACAATTTGTGGAGGGTTCTCCTGTGTGTTGTAGGACGTTTAGTAACACCCCCTCTACCCAAGAGATGCCAATAGCACCTCCCATCATGACCAGTTGTGACAACCGAAAATGTCTCCAGATTATTTCCAAACATCCCATGGGGGGCAAAAATCTCCTTCAGTTGAAAATTACTGTGTAAACTAGAGCTACATCCTAGATCTTAGAAAAACATGTAAGCTTCCCAAGTCAGCCCTGCATACCATTGGTACGGAAATGAAATAAGAGCCTAGAAGGAAGGAAACAAAACTATAATCTTATTTAATATAAAAGTAAAAATGCAAAAATAAAACACTACCGTATGCATTCTAACAGTGTTTATTATAGAAATACAAGGATGATTCAAAATTAGGAAAATTTCATCAGGTAATTCACAGATTATATTTCTACATAGAATTGAAGGCACAATCATGAAAAACAAAGTAGCTCTTTATGCTTTAAGTCCATGGTCTATTCTGTGAAAAACACAGGTTGCAGGTGTCTTACAGAAGGAAAACTGAACACTGAACACGTATTTCTCCCATCTGCTCTTTTTCCTGAGGCTCCATGGGAATTACAGTGAAGAATAAAGATTGTATAAACACACACAATTACAAAAAAAAAGGGATGGGGTTACCAAGAGAAGAGAATTCACCTCCAATAGACAATGACAGTAAATGGGAAATGGTTAATTAATGAAGCAAAGCAAACAAAGGTGGAGGTTAGGGGGATACCGATAACAAGGAGGCTAATTTGTCCCACAGTACCCTGCAGAGGCACTAGACTCCGACACCAGGTACCCCGGAGAGTGGGACTGATAGGCAAGACTGAAAACAGATTAACCAAAAGCCTACATACAGAACACATTTTCCAGGCCCTGAAACACATTGTTCTCCCACATTTCCTTAAGCAGAACCCCAGCAAACATGTATCTACCTCAGGCAAGAGAACGTAGATTTCACCTCCAGAGGAATGGAGTAGTTCCTGCCATCATTTATGATTGCGCAAAGAGATAAGATAGAGGGGTGGGGATAACAATTGGGAATCAGCATAAATTCCCCCTAAAAACCCTTTCCCCTAAAAGCTATCAGTTGACAAGTCTTGGCCAGAAAGAACTCCCAAACTTCTTTTTTATTTATTTATTTATTTATTTATTTTTTGAGACAATGTCTCACTCTTTCGCCCAGGCTGGAATGCAGTGGCATGATCATAGCTCACTGCAGCCTCAATCTCCTGGGCTTAAGCAGTCCTCCCACCTCAGCCTCCTGAGTAGCTGGGACTACAGGCGGGCACCACCACATCCGGCTAATTTTTATTTTTTCTAGAGATGGGGGTCTCACTGTGTTGCCCAGGCTAGTCTTGAGCTCCTGGGCTCAAGTGATCCTCCCACCTCAGCCTCCCAAAGCACTGAGATTATAGATGTGAGCTACCACACCCAGCCTCCCAGTCAGTCTTTTAGTCCTTCTCTCAAATATGAATGAACAAAAGGGGGCATTTTAAAAAAGATGACAAATGATGAGCAACATAGAATAGATATTTTGGGAAAGGCTTTTGAAAGAAAACTAAGACCAAAATAAACTAAGAAAAAAATTATTAAAGAAAAAAGACCTGCTAGGGAGAGGACAAAAGAGTATCAAAATAGCTCCTTAAAGACACTTGTGAATATATTACATCTATAAAACAAAACATAAAATATGAATAAGGAGTAATCAGAGAAGAAAAAGTTCTCAGAACTCAGGCTTCATCTTTGGAGTTGGTCCCCAATGAGCCACAACTCCTGTCATTCAGGTCCTCGGAAGGGCCCATTCCACAGTGAATCAAGGTTGGCTCCGAGACTTCCTTTAACCTATAGAATGTGGTAGAAATGAAACTGGACCTGTTCTAGGTCTAAGCCTTAAGAACATCTGACAGCTTGCACTTTTGTGCTTCTGGAAGCCAAAAAGAAGAACTGACTATCCTCTTGGAGAAAGAGAAGCTACATGAAGAGGGCCAAGAGTATGAGATGCTATGTAGAAAGGCCACATGAAGAAACACCAAGGCAGCAGACCTGTGGGTGAAGAAGCCGTCTCAGACGTTCCACTGCAGCTGAGCATCCAGACGACCAGTCCCTGACACTGTCTAACTGCACAGTGAGAGCTGCCAAATGAGACCAGCAGAAAAACTGTCCAGCTAGCCCATTAACCCATACAATAGTGAGAGAGAGACAAATTTGCCGTTTTATGCCATTAAGTTTTGGGATAATTGGTTAAGCAACAATAAATAGCCAAAACAAAACTTAAAGTTACGACTAGCCAAATAAAATTTCCCAAAAGCTTGTATACACATGGTCACAGCAGCAGAATTCACATTAATCAAAAGGTAGAAACAACTCAAATGTCCCTCAGTGGATGAATGGATAAATGAAACTTAATATAGCCCTTCAGCTGCAGTGAGCCGAGATCACACCACTGCACTCCAGCCTGGGCGACGAGTGAAACTCCATCTCAAAAAGTAAAAATGAAAATAAAAACATAGCCATTCAGTGGAATATCATTCAGCCACAGAAATGAACGAAGTACTGACACGTGCTACAACAGGGATGAACCCTGAAAACATTATGTTGGTGAAATAAGCCAGACACTAAAGGGCACATATTGTCTGATCCCGTCTTTATGGAATATCCGGAATAGGCAAATCCAAAGTGAGAAAACAGATTTTTCATTGTGGGGGCTGCGGGGAGAGGGAAGAATGAGGAGTGACTGCTTAATAAGTACAGGGTCTCCTCTGGGGGCAGTGAAAATGTTCTGGAACTAAATATCAGAGGTGGTTGCACAACATTGTACTAAATGCCACTGAATTGTACACTTTAAAGTGGTAAACTTTATGTTACAAGTGTATTACTACAATTTAAAAATAATGGGAGAAGCAAGAGTAAGGAGAGCCCTCTAAGGGTCTCAAACATACTGCCCTGTGAGAGCCCCTTCACCTAAGCTCTACGGAGGTCACCCGCCAGCTTGTACTGCGCTAACCCTCCAGTGACTGACACCCAGGCAAAGTGGGAGATGACCCAGGAAGGGGCTGGGTCAACCAGGCAGCAGAGGCAGCTGCCCATCAACCACTGACACCCCCTTCTCCTGGTCACCTGCCTCACATACCAGGTGCCACTCTGGGTCCGTTTGTAGGGAAGGTGGAAGCTCCGCCGCTTACAGCCCCCAGAGCTGCAGAACTAGGGAGAATTCCATTTGGTTTTGTTCAGTTCTCAAATGAGAAAATCTTCACCAACCCTTTGTAATACCATTGCTTAGGGGCCAGCATGGCTGGTTCTTCATGTTTGCTGCAAACACCTGCAATTTTTCCATCCTGCTAACTTAAAAGCAAGAAGCCCTGTGTGCATAGTTTAATGACAGCAACCTAGTGGGGCTAAAAATCATTCACGTGGCTCTATCGAAGGCTCAAGCCTGCAGTTCTCGCAGGAGGCTTGACCTGTGACCTCTCCTGTATTCACCCAGTGGCCTCCACACTCGGCCTCGAGCCCTGCACACATTCTGAGAAAACTAGCTTGACATCTGAAAAATGAATGTAACGATGGTGCCCAAGCCAGAAGGAAATTAAATGACCAATAGTAAGTCAGCATTAGATTTCAGTTTCCAGAGGGCATTTTCTACAGTATTTAACTTCCACTCATTTACACAGGCCAGATCTCTGTTCTCCTAATACGGGGAGTCCACAGTTCCGGTCAATAAGATTAGTCCTAATAAGAAAAAAACTGAGTTAGTCTCAATGGAACTGCCTAAGGCTACAGACATTAAAACAAAGGCCTACAACTCATAATTTGCAAAACAAGTTTCACCAGATGATCTATAAAGAAGATACCAATGATCCAGTTAACTTCACTAAATCTACCTGTCTACTTTTAGGAATATACACAGTAGAATATCTGGGATATTTAAACTTGTGGAAAAGGTGAAAGGATAGCAGAAATCGCTGTTATTTGATAGTGGATTTAACGATATCTGTTTATTTTAATGACACTCACAAGGCATGACCACAGTCACTTTACTATAAGCCACAACCTGTAGGATCTGTGTTCCTTCCACTCCTGCCAAGGTGGGATCATGACCCATACAAGACCTAGGAGAGAAGGGGAGGCTCCCCCACTCCCACTCAGGATGTGGTTGTATTATTTACTCATGGCTCATTTTGGTCTTGAATGTCCTCCTGAAACCTCCCAGGGATGTGCCCACCCACCGCCCCACGACCACACACGCCAGGTCCGCAGGTCCACAGGCCTGAATGGGTGTAATCACAGCTCATCCCTACTGTGGCTACATCAAAATAGTTTTGATTTGGCCCAAAATGTTTTTGCTTCTTTGTGGGTGATACAGTTTGGATATTTGTCCCCACCTCAATCTCATATTGAAATGCAATCCCCAATGCTGGTGGTGGGGCCTGGTGGGAGGTAAGTGTCTGGATCATGGGGCAAATCTCTCATGAATGACTTGGGCCATCCTCTTGGTGATAGGTGAACTCTTGCTCTGAGTTCACAAGAGATCTGGCTGTTTACAAGTGTGTAGCACGCCCCCTGCACAGCCCCCTGATCAATCAATCTCTCTCTCTCTCCCCCATTCTCACCACGTGAAGTGCTAGAACAGCCTAATCCAGTATGATTCTGGCTACATGGGTTCAGCCTGGCTCAACTTAGCTTTAGAGGGTCCAAATTGGCTCGAGCCCGTTCATCATCCAAAAACCTTTTATTTCTTATTTCTTTTATTGTGGTAAATATACATAATGTAAAATTTATCATCTTAACCATTTTTAGGTGTAGAGTTCAGTGGCATTAAGTACATTCACACTGTTGTGCCGTCTTCACCACCATGCATCTCCAGAACTTTTCCATCTTCACAACGGAACCTCTGCACCCATTAAACACCAGCTCCCCACTCCCTGCTCTCTCCAGCCCCTGGCCACCCGCATTCTACTTCCTGTCTCTGTGACTCTACTGTGGGTGCCTCAGAGAAGTGGAATCACACAGTACTTGTCCTTTTGTGACTGGCTCTAGCAGGATGTCCTCAAGGTTTATCCATATTGTAGCCTGTGTCAGAATTTCCTTCCCTTTTCAGGGTGAATGAAATTCTATTGCATGTGAAATCCTTTTCTTTTGTACCGTGTTCGCTATGCCAGCGGCTCAGAAGAGCAAGAGGAGCCCTGACCCGCCACTGCTTTGTCTGTGGAGTGGGTTTTGAGGGCTGGGGAATGGCTGGATGACCCCCCTCTCTTGAAGATGAACACAAATATTTCTAAAAGTGGCTAGCATGCTATTGTTCACATATTTGGGACCCAATGAATGAATCAAGAGGGGGCAGACAGGCTCCAGAGGCAGAATCAGAGGCCACCTGCAAGCAGATGAGCCGAAGGACAGAGGCTGATGAGACGAGGGTAAATGAGTGATGCCGCCACACACAGCAACAGCCTCCACCCTGATGTCGCACCCGAGCAGCTCTTGGGGAGCGATGTCTCCCCACCTTAAGTCCAGCTCAGGCTCCCTGACGTGCACAGCCTGGCTGCACCCAGAGCAGACCCGGTGGGCCACCCATGGGGCAGACCCAGAAGTGAGTCAGCACCCAGTGTCTCTTAAAAGGCCCAGTGTCTCTTCAAGGCTGAGTGCGGTGGCTAACACCTGTAACCCCAGCATTTTGGGAGGCTGAGGTGGGTGGATCACCTGAGGTCAGGAGTTCTAGACCAGCCTGGCCAACATGGTGAGACCCTGTCTCTACAAAAATATGAAAATTAGCCGAGCATGATTGCGGGTGCCTGTAATCCCAGCTACTCGGGAGGTTGAGACAGAAGAACTGCTTGAGCCCGGGAGGCAGAGATTGCAGTGAGCTGAGATCACGCCATTGCACTCCAGCCTGGGCAACACAGCAAGACTCCATCTCAAAAAAAAAAAAAAAAAAACCCAGGACCAGACAGAAGCCTGGACCACAGGCAGCTGTTGACACTGCAGGAGTGGAACAGCTTCTATGAGCCTAGCCCAAACATCCTTCAGCTACAACAGTTTGGGCCTTGGCTTGGTCTCAGCTGGAGAGAGATCACCTTCTCTTCTCTGAAGGTTGACTGGGGAGTTGGGGGCAGACGTGGGTGTGGCAGGTCTTGGAGGCCTCTATAAGGCCAGGGGGCTCCATTTCATTCCACATCTCCTTTCTGCACATGTCTGAGTTGTGCGTAGTTTTCCTGAGCTGCTCATGGTATTATGTGACATAGGATTAGGAGTTATTCTTGGTCAGCCCCCTATTACCATAGTCCCTTGGGGTAAAATTCCCATGCCTGCCATCACCATAGGACTTCCTATGCATCCCACAGCCCCCTGTAAACACAGAATTGCTGTGAATGACAGGAACAGCCCCAAAGTGAAGTCAACTGACACAATGTGTTCTAGAGAGAAGACAAGACATTAAGATACAAGTGCTGAAAATCCAGGAGTCAATATGATTTCCATTCCAAACCCAAGCTCTCAGTACACAGACACACACACACACACACACACACACACACACACATTCATGAATTCTTCTCAGAAAAAAATAGTAGTTAAAGCTTTAAAAAATATGAAAGCAGTCCACATAATTGGCCAAATAGAAGTTCCTTCACCCGAGTCCAATAATCACATCTTCTATAATATATACTCACAGTGAGGCTTTTTTTTGGAAGGCGGCTTTTCAAATGTGTTTATTAGAATGCACGCTGACTTTGCTATAATTAAAATACAGTTATGCTGACATCCACTGCCCTCATTAGCATGCGTTTCTTCCCCGAGGTTTTGTCACACCGTCAAAAAATCCTTTTCCAAATAGGTATTCACAGCTGATTGCCTGTCAGGCCAAGGCCCCCCAGCTTTCAGACACCTGTCCATTGTGAAATGCACTCTGGCCCCCACCCCAGCCACCAGGCCACCCAACACTGGCCGCAGCAGTGGGTGAGCACCAGCACCCCCACGTCTTTGCCACTGCCCTGCTGGTCTGAGTACACCCCTGAGGATTGAGGGGCTCTCCCACACATACTGCCCCACCATGAGCAGACCTAGGGCAGTGGGCAAGAAATTGAACCTCTCTTCTAGGGTGGGAGGAGGGGTGTCTTCTGCGAGACACGAGTTGCCACTCAGCCCTCAACCGGCTTTAGTCCTGAGTCTGAGCGGTGAGCTTAAGAGTGGCCAGAGCATCCACGCAACATGTCTCCCAACTGGACCAATGAAGAGCTCAGCCACCATTAGAACTGTAAGGCACCCAGTACTGCCCACCACCTCGCTTCAGCATCTGCGAGGCCTGTACCCTGAGGTCCCTTGCTCTAGGGCCCCTCTGCTCCTTTCCCCGGGACAGCTAGAGTCCTACCTGCTCATGAGGCCACTTCAGCCTGTCTTCTGGGGTCTGGTCTTGGACTTGAAGCCTCCCTGGGGGTCTCCGGGGTGCTTGGCCTCGGGAAGGAGGTTCAGCGACTTGGGCCTCGCCTCTTGCCTGCTGGAGCTGCAGCTGGCCTTGATGGGTGGGCAGCCCTCTGCAGAGTCCGCAGGCCCTGGCTCAGGTCCATGCTCGGGGATGGCCTCACTGGTGCTGGTGATGCTGGTCATACTCAGGCTTATCTTGATCTCTGCCACGATCTGGTTGATGTCCTCCTCCTGGTCCTCCAGGTCCCCGTCCCCGCACCTCAGGGGGTAGGCAGAAGCGCTGGTGTTCCCGTTAGCCTCCACAGGGTAGTAGTCCTGGTAGCCCTCTTTGCTGGGACAGTAGTGACCGTCTTCTTCCTGGTCGTGGGCCTCCAGGACGGAGGACACATCCTCCGTGATGGGCAGTTGGCCGTCAGGGTAGTCCTGGCTACCTTTAGCCCCGTGACCATGGGGGTGCAGGCCCTCCCAGGCCGTCGAGTCCACTGCATCCTGGCACCCGTCAGTGTCCATAGGATGCGCGCCGTGGGCCAGGTACACCTCCCCATTGCAGTCCATGCTCTCCAGGTAGCTTTCGTCCTCAGGGCAGTAGCGGATGTAGTAGGGGATGCCCTCCTCCTCCTCAGGGAGGCCCTCATCATAGTCGTCCTCCTCAGAGGTGTTGTTCACGTAGTCGGAACTGGAGTCCCCATCGGGGCTGTGGTTGTGGCGCTCCTGCTCCTTGGGCGTGGGGCTCTCTGGCCGCAGGGTGACCAGCTCCAGGCCCTCGGGCACATAGTCCTCCAAGGGCAGCTCCACGTCCTCGCTCTCGGGCTCCTGGTGGTGGGGGACAGGACCCGGCCTTGCCCTGTGGTCCAACATGCTGCTCCCCGCGCTCTGACGCTTCTGGTGGGCCATGGTAGACGCTTCCGGTGGGCCATGGTAGACTCTTCTGGTGGGGCATGGCGGGCGCTCACACAGCCATCATTCCCCAGAGGCAGCCACTGTGTGGAGGAACATTGGCAAGGACAGAGTCAGAACCCCACAAAGCCTGGCCACGTGTGGGGCCACTCCACCGCCACAGCACCTCCAACCACGTTCTCCCACAGCACTGTGAAAAATGATTGCTGAAGATTTTCATTGCTGCAATCTTTTAAAAAACTGGAAACAACCTAAGTACCCATAAATAAGAGAATGTTTAAAAAAATGACGGCAGAGTTCACGTGCTGGAAGAGTTGGTGGCATTTTTAAAGAGGCAGGGCAACACGCACTACAGTGAGGGATTTTACAGGCCTATTTTTGAGGGAAAATGGCAAGTGAGCTACAGCAAGCGCACGTGTGTAGATCCCAGTTACAGGTCCGTCAAGATGTCTAGAGAATACACACACCGCCCAGCCCATACATACACGCAAAGGCACACAGAAAGGGGAAACCCCTCAAAGGCTTGTCAGCCACGTCCTCTGGGGAGGGGAGGGGGGAGAGAGGTGGGAGGGGGGAGAGAGGTGGGAGGGGAGAGAGAGGTGGGAGCAGAGGGGGCCTGGACATTTTACTTTATTAAAGATGTATGTAGTGGTTGAGTGTTTCACCAAAACGCATTTAATATTCACCTGCATTATAATCAAATCCACCTGTGCACCTTTGAGGGTCTCCTCTTCTAGCTGGGGAGATATCAGCACTGAGACAAAACAACCTGTGGGGAAGGGCAGACAGCGAAGGGAGGAAGCAGGACTTCCCCCGTGGGCTGCTGCTCTGGGCATCAGGAGAGGTGACAAACAAGCTGGTCTCCTCTAGGAAGGCAGCCACTGGAGCAGAGGAGCCAGCCTCCCACAAGATCAGGACATGAGCACGCCACAGGGCACAGCCAGAGACACCTGAGACACAGGAGGCGGTGCTGACCCAAGGGAGGGCAGGACCGGGGGATGTGCCGGCCAGGACAGCCAGGGGTGCGCAGGCAGTATTAATTTGGGGAAAACTAAATCATTCGGTTTCATTCAATGAGTAGTTTGCATGCAAATGTGTGTGGCGGGGGTGTGTGGTGTGTTCATGAGATACAGTGTGTGTGGTGTGTATGTGGTAAATGTGTAGTATGGTGTGGGTGTGTGGTGTTTGTGTGTGTATGGTGGTGGGACGTCCTGGAGGGTGTGGTGTGTGGAGTGTACTGTGTATGGTGTGTGGTATGTGGTGTGGTGTGATGTGAATGTGATATGTGCGTGTGGTGTGTGTGGAGTGTGATGTGTGGTGTGTGTGGAGTGTAATGTAGTGTGGAAGGCTTGAGCGTGTATGTATGTTTTGTGTGCGTGGTGTAGTGTTTGTGGTGTGTGATATGTATGCAGTGTGTGTAATGTGTGTGGTTGGTGTGTGGTGTGTATGGGGTATGTGTGTGGTGTGTATGAGGTGGGCATGGTATGTGTGTGGTGCATGTACGTATGCACACACATGCACACATGTGCACTGCAGGTGACAGGCAGACCGGCAGCCTGGGACATGCAGCGGTGATCAGCTCAGCCAGGGCAGGGCTCAGGGTGAGAGTGGCCAGGCCCCTGGCAGCTCAGGACCCTGGATGAGAGTCCAGGAGGAAAGAACAAGCTGTGTCCCCATCTCCACCCAAGTTCATCACTAACATGAACCTATAGTCTGCACTGAAACTGTTCCACTTCTGATTAGAATCAGAAACACTTCCAGACAGGCTCAGCACAGCCAAGTGGGGACTGTCCTACAACGACACGGTGTAGCGGTGGGCAAAGGAATCATGGCAGCAGCTACCTTTTGTTTTTTAAAATGTGAAACCTTTCTGAATGGCTTAAGCAACATCTATTTAATTTAACAGCTCTACTGAGATGAAGAAAGAAAAAGAATACCTGCTCAGCTCCAGAGACACGTAAAGGGACAGAGATTGGGGGACAGAAGGAAGTGCATTAATTCCTTCCACGACCCCTGAAGAGCAGCGGTGGGTCTGAGCATCCTATCTCCAGGAAGCAGGCCAGCAGGCAAGCCAGCTGCCACCTCGTCCTGTGCAAAGCACAGGCACCGTCCCCAAAAGTAGGCAAATGACTATCTTATTTGTTCAGGGGAAGCAAAATGGTCCAGGGTTGGTAGCCGCGTTTTTTTCCCAACAAGACCTAACTGCTGTCATCTTTCTCTGGGACCCAGACTCCGTGAATAGAGGGAAAGGCGGCCAGCAGAACCCAAACTGTTCTGCCACAGGCTCCTCCCCACAGAGCACAGCTCAGTGCAACAGAGTCCCCAAATCCAAGATGCAGAATCCACAAAGAGAAAACCTTCTGCTCCAGAAGGTACTTACAGGAAGTCAAAATTAAAAACACATCTTCTTATGGTTCTTTTTTTCTAACATAATCCATTATTTCTTACTGCAAAACCTAGATGTTTACCATTTGTAACCAGAAATAGTTTCTCATAAAACAATCATAAAATGTAAGTTATTCAGTGACCCATCTCTCTGGAAAAGAATAACACAGTATGAAATTGAGGTATTGCCCCAAAAATCAAGACGATGGGCCCTGAAACTCTAAATACTTGAATTTTTAAGTAACTTCATATCAAGCCCATTTAATAGAAACTATGTCAAGCAGACACACTATTAGAACTGATACGAAAGTAAAATTTCAAACTGACACAGCTGTATCAAAAAAATATATAAATGAAAAGAGAAAAATTGCTTCATTGCCTTTTAGGATTTCCAAAGATGATGTTAAACCCAGCCACGGTTCTGATCTCCAGGAAAGCAATTGCTGTGGTACAAAAGGACAAGGGTTAAAAGAGAACAGTGGGAGCTCTCTTTCCCAACTAACTCACGCAGTGTGACGCAGAGGCTTTCAGCACAGCCCAGGGTGCCCGGGACTGAAAACTCCTTCACCAGCCCCCTCCACAGGTGGGAAATACTCGGATCTTCATTCTTGTGACACAAGACCTTGAAAGTTGCTGAAAAATGCTAGTCCCGTCTGACTGGGGCAGCATTTTCATTTATTGCACACCATTGGGTTTTTTTGTTTGTTTGTTTTTGTGGCTTTATTTGTTTATTTTTTTTGAGATGGAGTTTTACTCTGTTGGCCAGCCTGGAGTGCAGTGGCACAATCTTTGCTCACTGCAACCTCTGCCTCCCAGGTTCAAGCAATTCTCCTGCCTCAGCCTCCCGAGTAGCTGGGATTACAGGTGCGTGCCACCACGCCCGGCTAATTTTTGTATTTTTTTAGTAGAGACAGAGTGTCACCATGTTGGCCAGGCTAGTCTTGAACTCCTGACCTCAAGTGACCCACCCACCTCGGCCTCCCAAAGTGCTGGGATTACAAGCTTGAGCCACTATGCCCAACCACCATTAAGATTTTGGCAGGAATCATTGTGCTAGACACCACTATCCCACCAATCACTGAGCACTTTTCATTTCCTGCCGCTGGTGCTGTTGGATACCTTACGGCAAGCTGCCGTCCCTGCCCACCCACCTGAGGACAGGAACCTCCAACTCTGCCTTGCCAGAACTGACCAGTGTGTCTGACAGATGGTGAGTCCTTTGCTGTACATGGCCCTCAAAAAAATGAGACAATTCTTTCACTCAGACCAAAGTAAGCAAATGCTGAAAGACCTTATAATGAAACATCACATTCCCCAATCTGGACTTCCCCACTCCGCTGGCCAACTTTGTCGTTTCTGATTTTAATTCTACTGGTGATTATTTTCCACCTCTCTAAATAATTTTTGAACTCTCTTTCTGGGTATATCAACTTCGGATACTATTGATTGGCGTCCCATTATGAGAGGTGAGCTTTGCAGACCACAACCTCCCAGGCTCTGATGCAAGTGAACAGAGGATGGCACCAGCTGCTGCAGTTATGCAGAGGGGCTTTCCATTCTTAGCAAGAGCACTGGGATAAAAGAGATCCTTCCAAGAGCTCCCACCTAACTGTGGGAACACAGAAGCATCCTTTAAAAGCCCTGTGGTCACACAGCCTTCAGCATGCATACAGGCTCTTTTCTTAACTTTATAAAGCCCCAGATAGGCTGGTACTAACATGGTGCAACCCTGTCTCTACTAAAAATATACACAAATTAGCTGGGCGTGGTGATGGGTGTCTGAAATCCCAGCTACTCAGGAGACTGAGGCACGAGAATCACTTGAACCTGGGAGGCAGAGTTTGTAGTGAGCAGAGATCACCCCTGTATACGCCCACCTGGGTGACAGAGTGAGACTCTGTTTTAAAAAAGGAAATAAAAATTAAAGAAGTAAATAAATAAATGATGGCTTATTTCCTAATAGTTATGACTTTGTAAAGCTTTGAAATCTGCTTTACCCAGAGTGTAGCTTTTAAATAAAATGTAGGATATAGAAGGTGGGAGCCTCTTGAATGGAATGTGGGGGCTTTTCCTCTCTCCCCGTAGGATAGATATATTCTGTTTCTTGTCCCCCATTGAGTCAAGAATAATTTAACTTTTGGCATAAGAAACTGCTGAAGAAAAATAGGTTGAATAAGCTAACATTTTTCTTCTTTTTGCAGGATATAGAAGACTTAGATCACTACGAGATGAAAGCAGAGCCCATTAGTGGGAAAAAGTTGGAGGATGAAGGAATTGAAAAAGAAAATTTGGCAATATTAGAGAAATTAGGAAGACTGAAAGACAAGAGCATTTAACTGCGTAAGTGTGTATAAATAGCTAGAGCCTGGATTTTTGTTTAAGTAATTATAGTTAATCCCAGGCAATTCATGAACATGCCAATCTCAGCTGCTCTCCTCCATTCCTGCCTTAGTGGTAGATTCAGTCACATGTTTATTGGTTTTGAGACAGGGTCTTGCTCTGTCGCCTGGGCTGGAGTGCGGTGGCACAATCATAGTTCACTGAAGCCTTGATCTCCCGGGCTCCAGTGATCCTCCTGCCTCACCCTCCCAAGTGTCTTGGACTATGGGCATGAGCCACCACACCAGGCTAATTTTTTAGATTTTTAGTAGAGATGGGGTCTCACTATGTTGATCATGCTGGTCTTGAACACCTGAGTTCATGCGATCCTCCTACCTCAGCCTGCCAAAGTGCTGGGATTACAGGCATGAGCCACCGTCCCTAGCCACGGTCATATGTTCTCTTGCCCAAGGTTATCTTTCTCATCTATGAACAGCCACTTTTTACCCTGTTCATCTGCTGTTCACATCCTGGAACCACCTGCTGATCCCTGTATATGCCCCTTTCCAGCCTGTTTATGCTGTTTTCTCTGCTTACTTTCCTTCTGTGGCATCTGTATATTCACATTCATTCTCTCCTACAAAACACAACTCAAATTATTTCTCCTTCGTGAAGGTGACTTTGGTCCATCCTGCTCTGACCAAATCAAAACTAATTCTTCTCTTTTGACTTAACATCTCTTTTATGTGAAGTGGCAGGATGTGAAAGGAACACTGAGTGTGGTGACAAACACACCTTTTTTGGTTTCACTTTGCTCAACTCTAAAGTATGGATAGATAGTACATACCTTTTGGATGACTGCTGTGAAAAATCAATGAGAATGATGTGTGTGTATACATGAAATGCTCAGACAGAGTAGGGAAACGTCAGATGATTGTCTGAACACTTACTACTTCCTGCCTTGTATTAGAGCTATTTACCAACTCCATGAAAGCCGAGGACCAGTTACTTTGTCTTGGGCACAGGTTCTCCAAAACAGGGAATGAATTGTTAGGCAAGTAGATGCCAAGTGTTGAAACCAGAGAGATTACTCTCCCTCCTTCAGTCTTAGTTATATATTAATTTAATTAGTAATTTTTCCCAGAGGAAAGAAATTTAGTCGATTTCTCATATCTTATTTAAAAAACTGAGTTTGTAGCATTTGAAATAATGTTACTGTACTTTCCGTGTCTTGTGATCGATTCCAGTTTGAGTTATCTTCAAAACAAGTATAAATTATTGAACACTTTTGCATGACCGATACTATGTTAAGTACTTTATACTTTATATATGCTCTCATTTAGTCTTCATAGCCGCTGTGTGAAATAGGTGCTCTTCATAGTTTAGAGATAGGAGAAACTTCTCATATTTTATAGATAGGAAATGAGGTCATGGTTACATATCTAGGAAGTGAGATCTTCGTAAACTTGATTTTTTTTCTTTTTCAAAGTATAGTGCAGTCTTTAAAACCTTTAGTTTCACATGACTAAAAAGTAGTTCCATTTCTACTTAGTCTTAGGATAAGATATCGATGTGTTTTCATCTTTAGAGAAGTCCCCACACTGAAAAACTGAAACCAGTTGCATGTAGGTACACGTGTTTCTCAGTGTGTCAATGTGTGAACTAGACCATCTGTGTAATATTCTTGCTTGTAGTCTTATGAATGGAAGTCTCTCTTAGTCAGTAATGTGTCACCTTGAGTGTCTTCTAGCATTTTCAAAAATTGCTGGGGTTTGGAATAGACTCATACTAAATTCTGTGCTATCATGGAGTCCATGGTGGTCTGAACATGTTGGCTAGAGTTTTTCAGATGATAAGAAATAGGAAACGAACCAGACTTGTGTCTAGTTTTATATTCTCTTGAAACTTCATAATGCTTCATTTAATTGGACTTTTTTTTTTTTTTTTTTACTTCTTGAAATGTTGAGTGTTGGAAATGTTTTTATAGGTCCATCGAAATTTTTTTGTCATTTTCTTGATAGAGTGAACTCTTGCTTGATTTTTATCTTCTAGGAAAAAGCTCAAGCTTGAATAATATTGGTTGGAAAGTAAACAAGAGTAATATATTTCATTATACAGAGAATGATTGCCAAGTTGATTTTTATGACTTTTCCCCCAGTTTTGAAAGCAATATAATTAACTCTTATTGTAGATGTAGTTATGTTATTACTTTTAAAATACGTCGGTGTAGTACACCTGTAGTACAAGCTACTATGGATGGTGGGAGGCTGAGGCAGGAAGATCTTTTGAGCTTGGAGACGTTAAGGCTGCACATGAGCTGTGATTGCACCATTATATTCCACCCTGGGTGAGAGAGCGAGACACCTTGTCTCTTAAAACAAACAAACAAACAAACGAAAAGGGAGTGGGGGATGGGAGTCATATTAGAAATCTATATATAGGACAGTTGTGGAAAAATACCGATTTTTTAGTGATTTAACTTTTCATAGTTCCGTCCATGGCAAATTGTTCTCCTTGAACTGCTTGACTAATAATACAAGTTTAGGAAAGCATATTAAACTTCTTTTGAATTCTTGAGAAAATTATATACATGTGACTGTTTTCCTTTAGAATGACTGCAAACTCTGAACCCCCTTATTAGATTAGATTTAGGCTATTATGATCTCTTTTGGACATTCATTCTAAAGGAGCTGGAAGCTATAGTGACCTCTGTTTTTCCTGAGGATATAGAGCAGCTTAAGATCTTCTCTTTCTTGAACTTAGCCTAGGTGCTCTATTTTAGCTTTCAGATTGGTTCATTTTTGAGTTAGTTGAAAAAAAAATATCTTTTTGTTTGAACTGTTTTTTGTTTTGTGATTCTTCGGGTTGACCCTGCTAGTCCTTTGCACAGTGATCTTCAGATCTTAAAAGAAAAAGAAGGCATAGGAGATACTTTGCTTAACTTATCTTTTAAGGTAATAAAATTGTTACGGGACTCTGTTTTTCTAATGGGAGTGTATATTTGTACAAGTGTTTTGGAAAACAATTTGGTAAAGTGGAAGATACTCATACACTATGGTTCAGGAATCTTGTGGATATATACTCCACAAGAAATGAGTACATAGGCACCAGGAGACACCGGAATGTTCAGAGTAGCATCATTTATCATAACCCCAAACAGAAAGTAACCCAGGTGTTCATTCCAAGAAAATGAAGAATTGTGGTATTCATAAAATGGCTTACAGCTATGTGGGAAAGATGGACGAACCTTGAACACTATGTTAAGCGAAAGAGACCAGAGCCCCAAAACCTATTTTGTACAATTTCCTCTATATAGAGTTCAACAATAGGGAAAACTAATGTTGGTTAGGGCATACATTCTTAGTGGAGGCAATATCGCCTGCAGTGGAGTGAAAATTGGTCCTTAGAGTGAAAGAAAATCTTACCTATTATAATGGTCTGCTGCCCTCCAAAGGGCCGTATAACATAAACCGACATACAGTATATCTGTGGTGTTAAAATTCCATGGGGAGTGGGGATAGAATTAGGAAGAAAACTTCTAAAAAGGCTTCTTAGGGGGACAAAAGTGAAAAGAAAACAGAGAAACACTTATTTCTGGATTCATACTTGGGCAGTAAAACTATTAAGAACAAAGAGGTGATCACATAGAGGTTAGGGGAAGGAGTCCATCCAGGTGGGAGGTAGGGATGTGTGACCTGAAAGGGACATCTGTGGGCTTCTTGGATACTGGCTGGAATATATTTCAGGACCAGGTTGGTGGTTACATGGGCAAATAATTTACAATAACTTGTTAAGGTATACCTTCAGGTATATTTTATGTAACTTTCTGAATGTATGTGTTATATTTAATAAAGTATTTTTAAGATACTGAAAATAAAGGTTACAAAGGAATAACGATGGAATCTAGAAGAAATGTTAGTGATCTAGAAGAAATGTTAATGGAATCTAGATAAGATGTAATGGTTTAAAATCTATGGCTATATGCGGTATTTTGATGAAAAAAACAGACATAAAAGAATACTTTCTTGTACTTACTCTAAGGATGGTAGTAGTTTTCTAAAAGCTTCGTACTTAGCTTTTTGTGTGTATATTTTTGCTTGTGGATATATCTTATGATTGAACTTTCTTGATATGACCCTAATGTCAGTATTTTCTCTCACTTTTGTTATCATAGAAACTGTTGTCGTTGTCAACTGGGTTGTCTTCCTGAAGTATGAATCCGGTATGTATTGCCTGAATTTGCTAATGGCTACTTCTTTATGGATTCATACGGGGTAACGAATAAAGCACGCAGGCCTAAAACAAAAAAAACAAAACACAAAAAAACTAGGAAGGTATCTTCCTTTTTTAAAACATTAAATCATACATCCATATGCCCAACACCAAACTTAAGAAATAGAACCTTTGGCTGGGCGTGGTGGCTCATGCCTATAATCCTAGCACTTTGGGAGGCCAAGGCAGGCAGATCACCTGCGGTCAGGAGTTGAAGAGCAGGCTGGCCAACATGGTGAAACCCCTTCTCTACTAAAAATACAAAAATATTAGCCAGGCATGGTGGCGGGCGCCTGTAATGTAACCCCCGCTTCGTGGGAGGCTGAGCTGGGAGAATCACTTGAACCCAGGAGGCAGGGGTTGCAGTGGGCCGAGATTGTGCCATTGCACTCCAGCCTTGGTGACGAGAGAAACTCCGTCTCAAAAAATACATATATATAAAAGAAATAAAACCTTATCAGTACCTGTAGCACCCTGTGTGCCCCTCCCTCGTCATGTCCTCTTTGGGAGGTATCTTGAAGGAAATACGAAATCTTGGCCAGGAAACTGGAGGATTCGTGACTGCAGGTGGTGTTTTCATTATTTTTTCCTGCTTTAGCTAGAACTTCAGGGAAGGGACGATGTGGGAGGTAAATGGCTGAAACTCTATTGGATTTGTGTTTGTGGCCAATGGCTCCTGATACCAGAAAGAAGGGCCTTTTTCTGTGGTTGGAGTATTTCTTAAGAGTCCTGAGAAAAATGTGATGCCTTGAGCTAACTGACCTTCTGAAGAGGACCTTAAACAATTTCCAAGTTATTAGTGTCGGGATTCACAGACTTTGGAGAATAGCAGGTATGACTTGGAAAGATGTACAGGAAGGAGCCACAACAATATATATTTATAGGCTCTGATGTCCACAGTGACAACTTGAGCACCATGAATACTAAGCAAAATGGTACTGGAGATAAAGTATAACACAAAGATGGGATTGAGGGCAGGAGGGAATGCGACCTGGTCAGCAACTTGGTAAATCCAACTTGCTATGTTTTTAAGGAAGTTGTTTTCTGATGTTACAGGCAGCATCGGAATTACTAAATTGAATTCTGAGGTAGTGCTTTAAAGAAATGCGTTCTTCTGCCCCTATTCTTTGGAATACTTACTAAGTATGCTTACTATTCCTATTCTTGGGAATACTTGGCTAAGTTCTTAGTTTTTGATATCATAAAAATTCAAAGTATTCTGTTCTAAGAGCCATTGCAAATAGTTGACTAGAATTTCAGAGCAATTACATGAGAGTAATACCAACAGAGTTTTTAAGTTACCCATAGTCCTGTATCCCTAACAAGTATGTTCATGCTTGCATGTTCTCTTCTAATGTTTACTGTGTGCATACTTTCTTAGTAATGGCATGTAGAAATTGTTTAAGCAGGAATAATTCTCGAGATAGTTTTGTATGTTTCCTTTTTTCTTTCTAAGGTATGTATTGTGTGGAGGAGCATTACGTATTGAACTTCTCACAAAACAGGTGATTATTTTCTTATAATACTCAATTTTCACCCTCAATAGAGTGTTTCGATTACGTAAGTTAGGTTGTAAGTAGAAGGTTCTCTTCAAGAAATTTTAGTGTTTTTTTTTTTCATAGCTCCTACTTTCAAGAATGAAAAAGGTAACCCAGTAAAATGACACTGTACTTGGTGCTGCATCTATGCTGGGATAGGCATTAAGAGTGACCTTTATTTAAGGTTCTAATTTGCTCATGTAGGCCACTTGCAACATCCGTTTGTTGTTTTTGGTGAGATTCTGGAAATGGTCCAATTTTACTTTTTCCCCTTGACTCCAGACTTTTTAACACTGATGTGCTGCTGTTGAGGCATATGCCGTTTTGTTAGGCCTCCTCAAGTGGGAATCAGGAATGCTGCTGTTTTCTAGAGATGTTTTTTCCTTCCTGTAGGGCTGAAGCAGTGCCTACTCGACAGAACCGGTCATCGTACAAAGAAATGCCACGTGACTCAAAGGCAAAGCCAGAGTGCAGCTTGGAGCAAAGAAGGTATTTTATTAAGAATTTTCCATAAACCATAAGATACATTTTATATTACTTTGTGAGCCTTCTGCCTGTCTTGACTTAATTCTTTTTGAGAGAATTTGTTTCATTTTCATTTGGTTTGTTTTCTTCTTGTTACAAAGATGATCTATAGAAAATATAGAAGTATCATTTCTTTATTATTGCTTTTTTCCCGCCTCTGTGCCTATGCCTACCAAGTCTTTTTTTTACTTTTTATTAACTCTTTCAATCCTCTTAATAACTTAAAAAGAGGGTATTACTAATATCTGCATCTTGTGGATGAGGTAACTGAAGGTAGGTAACTTGTCCAAGGTCACAGGTGGCAGAGCAAGGATTAAAACCAGACCGTCTGGCTGCCCAAGGCCCAAGCAAGAGGAGCTGAGAGCAAGCCATTGGGGAGAAGGATGTTGGTCAGGCTGGTTTCCTGTTCAGTTACCATGAAACGCAGGCTTAACCTTAATTCTAGGACATTACCAAGAAAGCCTTGCAAAGCCATAGGTTTTTTACCATGACCATGACTTTTAGCAAGAATTTGTGGTTTAAAGGCAGCGTGGTGCTCTAAGAAGCTTCCGTTCACTCTTACAGAGGGACTGCTGGTTGAGCTAAATAGTGAAATCCTGGTGGAGCACACAGCCTTTAGGGCAGCTTGTGACCTATTTCTATGGTCAGGAAAGACACCTGTCTTTCCCTGCTGCCTACAGCCTCCAGTTATTCACCTTCAGAATTTCCTAGTCTGTGATCACATTCAGATGAGAGATCTGTTTTGTTTTTTCCAGGGTAGGAGGAAGTGAGTCATCACCTATACTAAGCAGTCTAGTCTTCTGTATATAAATGAGCAAGGTTGGGGAGCCAAATTTGAGAACCTTGTGTAATCCTGACATTCTCCAGGAGAATCCAAGAGAATATCAGGATTACGGACGGTGGTAAAGGGGTCTCTTGTTAGTTGTCCCCACAGCTCTCATCAGAAGCACGCACAGATACTTTTTCTAGGAAACCATCTCTAACTTAAGCCTGTAGGATTCCCAAAGATTAAAAGCAGGCAACTATGAATTCAGTGAAATCATAGCATTCAAGTAGTGAACCCAATATATTTGAGAATTATCAGAAACAATGAATGTTTCCCAAAGACTGTAGGTTTTGGAATTATCAGATACAGAATACAGACTTCAAATATTAGAATTGTGAGAAAATAGTTACATGTGAAATAAATGTATTATATAAGAAAAAGATGGACTCATAAAATTGAGCGAGCAGGAGCAGTAAGACCACCAGGAATGATGAGGAAGACCTGAAAGGAAAATGGATGAAATAGAACTTACAGAAATAAAATATATAGCTGGGTATGGTGTCTCACACCTGTAATCTCAGCACTTTTTGAGAGGCTGAGGCGGGAGGATGGCATAAGCCCAGGAGTTGGAGACAAGCCTGGGCAGCATGGTGAGAACTCGTTTCTCCAAAAAATACCCCACCACCACCAAAAAAAAAAGAAGAAGAAGAAAAAAGCTGTGTATGGGGCACCTACCTGCCTATACTCCCAGCTAATCAGGAGGCTGAGGTGGGAGGATCACTTGAGCCCAGGAGGCCAGGGCTGCAGGTTCGTGCCACTACAGTCCAGCCTGGGTGACAGAGTGAGACTCTGTCTCAGAATAAAATGAAATAAGGAAATATAAAATGGAATTGTTGAAATAAGAAACCGAGTGGATGGATTAGACACCAGAAGAAAGGATTAATTGGTTAGACCATTATCTCCAAAAAGTAAGTCCATATGTTACACAGAGAGATATGAGGATAAATGACAGGGCAGAAGTTGGTGGGGTTGGCGGGGAGAGGGAGATCAGAATGAGGTCTAAAATACGTCTTAGTGGAATCCCAGGAGGAGATATTAAAATTATATTGGAAAGTGAGAGAAATGGAAGTTCTAAAGGTGACAGAAGGAAGTCCACATAAATGAGTCACAACAACTGTAAATGGACTAAAGTTACCAGTTAGACAGATGGAACTAATAAAACGATATCCAGCTGTTCTAATCCATCTTATTGAAACTATGAGGATGTGAAAAGATTGAAAGTTTTTATAAAGGAGAGAGAGAGAGAAAGATATGCCGGTATACATTAACCAAAACAACTGATGGAGCTTCAGTTTCAAACAAGATAGGATGTTGGAACACAAAGCATTAGTAACAGCTTGATGCCAACTGACTGTTAATTAGGAGGATGTAGCAATTTTCATATTTTATGTACCTATCAAAATAGACTCAAAATACAGAGGAAAAACTGATAAAACCACAGGGAGAAATTGACGAGTCTGCCATTGTATTTGGAGATTTCAACATACCCTGCTTACCATAAGTAAGTTACACAGAATGCCCATATATAGATTTGAATAACCCGTGAATGGACGTGATGTAATGGACAAATATAGACCTCTGTACCCAATAATCAGATATTCTGTATTCTTCTCAAGCATATGTGGACTGTGGGAGAAACATTAATTATGTATTAATCCATTAAGCACGTCAGAAGATTGAAAAACAATTGGTACAATCCACACCATAAAATTGATAATTTAAATATGAAGCAGTTAAGGTTAGAAGTTAATAATGAAGAGATTAACCAAAGGCTTCATGAACTTGGAAATTAAACACCCTTGTAATTCATAGTTAAAAGAATCCAATGAAATTTTAGAATGCTTAGAATTGAACCATAGTTAAAATAGGAAACTTCTATCTACCCCTCTCTCTCGCCCTCTCCCTCCCTCCAAGGCCCAATTCTTATATTTCTGCTTGTTAATTTGCTATAGTTAATTCGGATATATACAAAGACTAAGAACAATTCCTTGAATACAGTGACAACCTGTACCTGGAATAGTCCAAAGCCTAATTACCCTGACTCCTCCACCAACAGTTCCCAAACTGGTGTACTAGAAAGTCTTCCGAATGCTCTTTGCAAAAAAAACAAAAACAAAAAAACAAACAAACCAGAAAACAACATCGTGGCCATATAAATTCATTGTTCTGAGAGGTCCCGTTGAATTTACCAAGCATTTCCCAAATTGATTTATTCATCAATAATCCCGAGGTGCTGGGATTACAGGCGTGAGCCACCATGCCCGGCCTTCCATAAGGCATGTAAAGGCACTTCCAAAGGTAGAATCAACAGACTTTCCAAAAGTCAGTGGCAAGGTCTCCAGACTCAGACCCGCCTTCAAGTTCCAACCCCCAGCAACCCAAAGGCAATGAATTGTCCTCCCAGAATAGCATCAGATAGCGATTAGAACGTGGTCCTCAAATTCTCCAGATCAACTCCAAAAACATATATAGTATTAACAGGGGAAATATTGTGAACTGAAGTCTTTAACAGATAACATTAATCAAAAACATTTCTATGGGTAAACGATTATATATAAAATAGGTTTCTCACCAACAAAAGCCCCTATAATTTCAGGCTGATGACAATTTAACTTATGCTTTAAATGCATAATTATGTCAAATAAATGCATCTACAAAGGCCTGAATACAATCTCTGAGTCAAAGGTCGCCCCATCTTCTCAATGTCACATTTGATTATACGTGTATTTGAGAGAACATCACTCATTATTTGTTTTGGGAGTATAATGGAATATTATCTAATATTTTGGATATTATGGAAACTAGTTGATTGGAAGTCAATGGCACTGTTTCTGTTAAAAGAGTAGGATCCTCCTCAGTAGACAGAGACGTGTAAGAATAGTCATTGTACATCGACAGAGCGTCAGTATCAGGCAGTGGCTTCAAAGCCAAAGTGGTGGTTGGATGTAAAGTGGAATTTTAATTGGCAAAGGAGGCGGATAGTGAGCAATGTTGATTCAATAATAACGTAAAGTCCAGGAAAGCCTGTGGCTGTAAAGAATGTTGAGCCATAGAGCCCATGGGAAATAGGAAAGGGGGCCTCGAAATATTCAGAGACTCGTAGAAGGGTAGCGTAAATACCTAAGGTAATTGTGATGGCTAGTGCTTGAAGTATTTGCTTTCGACTACCTTCTATCAGGCTGTCTAGAAACTTGGAAGTTTCTTGAGGGCAAGAATGAAGTCTTTTACAGCTTGTGGTGTGCCTCTGTGTACCCAACAGGTCCTCAATAAATAATGTGTTACCCTACTTTGTCATACAATATAGGACATACTTAGCTGTACAGCACGATGTGATTTGATCACACCTAACCTATGAGTGGACAATCACAGCGTTCTATCTGTTTAAAAACAACACTCCCTATTCCCTTTCACCTTCGTAATATATGCGTTTGGTTTCTAGGAATGTTGGTTCTACCCATATGTTTTTAGGCAATAGCACAATCTGTGATGTGCCTAAGTAAAATTATACCAAGCATTCTATGGCGGCAAAGCTAATGCACTGCTCTTTGTTTCGATTAAGATTTTAGACGTTTGAAAATATAAATTGAGATATTGGACAGTGAGGGTTTTATTTTGGAGGTTGGAGGAGATTGAAATGTTGGGGTAAAACTGCTAGGCTCCTTTGGGACTTGTCTGTCAGGGTGGGGAGAATATACAAGTTAACCAAATCTTGTAAATTCTCACAGTGCTTAGTTTTGTGACTGTACAAAAACTGGCATTGTTTTTCCTGGGTCTCAGTGGAGAAACGTGAGCTGTGAGATTAACATCCTCTTTACTGTGTTTTGGCCAGGATTTTGCAAGCTTTTGTGGAGAAAATTATATTGCTTTTTTTTATCCTGTTGTAACATATATGTATATCAGTATGCTTCCTTGTGTTTTACTGTGGTAAAATTGTATCTTGCATATAGAGAAATAAGTCTATTAGAGTGAACTTTAAAAAATCTTTACTCTGAGGTGCCAGCCTTGTGTAATGAACCATATGTTTAAGCCTCGTAAATACATCACACTAGAGCCCAGCATGGTGGCGTGCGCCTGTAATCTCAGCCACTAGAGAGGCTGAGGCAGGAGTATCGCTTGAACCTAGGAGTTTCAGACCAGCCTGGGCTACATAATGAGATCCCATCTCAGTCAGTCAACCAGTCAATCAGTTACACAAAAAAGATCAAGGTCTTTCTTGCCCTTTTAGAATGTCTTTCCCAAACATTCTAACAAATGTCTCGGTGTCTCAAATAATGAAAAGGGTTTATGACAGAGTTACGGCAGTCATCAGAGAAAAATCCTGGACAGATTGCAAATGTATACCAGTTGTGAATTTCTATGACTGCAATTGAAATCCAACATTATTTTTGTACGGTCTTCTTGGGTGTATCTGTGTTTAATAACTTGTTTTCAAATTTAGAGGACTGTAGCTATGGTTTCTTCTTAGAGACCTTGACCTTGAGGGGCTCACAGTTTAATGGAAGAGAGAATTAGAAACCAAGAACTAAATGCAGAGAGTGAGGTTCTGCAGTACAGGGTGTATAGAGGGTGCAGAGCAGCACTGTGGCGCCGTGTTCTGGCCTCATCTTCTACTGCTCTAGACTTCCTGAAATGCCATTTCCTGACCCCACCTGGACCTCTCTCTGTAGGTGCTGTTCTATCTCCTTGCAAGCCTTTTCTACAGCTTAAGTGCCTGCTGAAGTTCTGTTTCTTCAGAAGCTTCTTGAAGGCTGCCTGTAGCTCACCCAAATAATTGTTTTGTCTACATCTCTGTTATTTCTTTAATTACAGCCAATTCTTACTATTTGCAGGAGTAATATTCTACAAAGTTGCCTGGAACACTGAATTAATCAAATAGCAAACCCTTGTTTCCAGGGTAAATATGTACATAAATACATATGTCATATAGGTTATCATCTTAATTCCTAAAAACAACTCATCCTGGTAGATTGAATTTTCTTTCTTTCCAAAAGAATAAAGGAAGTACAGAATTGTAAGTGATTTGTCTGAGGCCACTCCACTAACAGGTGCCAGTGTTATGATTCAGACCCCGCCCAACTGGCCCCAGAGCCACAGCTTCTTGCGCTACCCTGCAGTGTCCTCTACTGTCTCTGTCCTCAGGTCATCTTTGTATGAGAGTTGAAACAAGCAGACCAAGGTCACTGTTTGACCTTAGCTTGGGACGTGTGCAAAGAGTGACAGAGTTTTCACTACTGCATGTCTATCCAGGAGCCACCTTGAAAGTGCCACAAGTATTAATTTGGGACTTAGACATTTTAGCAAGTAAGCTAATTTGAAAATATGGGATACTCCAATGATGAGGGTCAACTGTATTTGTAAGTGACTGCTAGGGTCTGTTTCATGGTAATCCCTTCCCGCAAGAATGTGGAATGTTTCTTTAGCTTCTTTGATAGTTTATTTATTCATTCATGTATTTATTAAGTCCTTATTATAAGCCAGACTCTGCTTTAATCTGTGTGAACAAGCTAGAGATTAAGGTCCTGCCCTGTGGATTTTATATTAGAGTAAGAAAGACAGATAGCTAAGTCTGGAGCTCGGGGGGGTGGGGGGCGGCGAGGCCCCGGTTGGAATTATAGATTCACTTGACCAAGGTGAAACCTGGTGTGCCCCCTCCTGCTTCACATCCACAGATATACTTCCAGAACATTTCTGTTCTATTCTTGTGTATAAAATCCTCCTTTTGAGCCTCTCTCCATTGATGCATGTCAACCTCTACCTGTCTTTTGTTGATTTTGAGGCCACTTGCCCATGTGGCTGGCAGGATATTGAAGAAGAATCATACTGACCTGGCTCTGCTACCTACCAGCTGAGTTACTTTGGTCAAGCTCTTGGACTTCTGAGCCTGTTTCCTGATTTCAAAAGTGGTGATATGATGTGTTAGGCACTGGTGGGTTGCAAGGAAGATGCACGCATGTATTCCCTTTGTGATGAGGGCCGAATGTTAACTTGGATGGAAAGTCATCCAAGCAGCCATATTGTCTCTGGCCCTAGTACTTTCAAAACCTCACAGAACATTAATTTCACAGTATTTAGGATAGGACTTGAGCTCTGAAGACCTATAGTGTGGTTATTTGTTCATATGGCTGTTTTCCATACTAGACCATGAGCTCCGTAAGGGCAGGATGTACAGTTTCATCTTTCTATCCTGGGCACTCAGTTCACTGCCTGATACACAGTAATAGAGGCACAAATGTTTCAAAAGTTGAGGAATTTTCAACACTTCCTGAAAGAATAGGAAGATATAAAGGCTTCTCAGAGAAGGTATTATTTAAGCTTTTCTTTTTCTTTTTCTTTTTTTTTTTCAGATGATGTCTCACTCTGTCACCCAAGATGGAGTGCAATGGCACGATCTCAGCTCACTGCAACCTCTGCCTCCCAGGTTCAAGCAATTATCCTGCCTCAGCCACCCGAGTAGCTGAGATTACAGGCCTCTGCCACCATGCTCAGCTATTTTTTGTATTTTTAGTAGAGACGGGGTTTCACCATGTTGGGCAGGCTAGTCTTGGAACTACTGACCTCAGGTGATCCGCCCACTTTGGCCTCCCGAAAGTGCTGGGATTACAGTCATGAGCCACCATGCCCAGCCTATTTATTTCTGATTCTTTAAGGGTGAGTAGAAATTTTTTCCAGGTGACTAAAACCTTGAGACATTATTCCAAGCAGAGACCAGCGGGGCAAAGACACGGGGATATAGAGATGTTGAAGTTTACCAAACACTGCTAGATTTAAAAAACAGAAAAGAAACAATCAAAATCAAAAATTAAAATTAAAAATCACCTAAAAAAAAAGAAACTGTTAATGGGCTTGTCCAAAGGTGACGTCACAATTGAGTTAACTATGACCATAGACACACAATAATGGATGGAAGTTTTGGGGAAAAAACATAACATTCTCAGGTTGTTGGCAGAGTATCTAGAACAATTTAGAAATACAGATATTGAATTCTGGGAATAATTACACTGTAGTGAAATCATTTCCTTCTCTGCGTATGAAGCATGTATGTGTGGCACACTGTTCAAGGTGCTGAAAATCAGACTCTTCTCAAGGAGCTCATGAGCAATCAAGGGAGATGGATGGGTGAGCCACTGATTATCATGTGACAAGTGGGGTAATAGAGATATGACTAAAATGCTATCCAAAGAAGAAGAAAGGAATTATTCATAGTATATGGAGTGCTGGGGAAAGAGTTCTGAAATGAAGCCGGCCGGGTGTGATGGCTCACACTTCCACTACCTGACCTCAGGTGATCCACCAGACTCGGGCTCCCCAAAGTGCTGGGATTACAGGTGTGAGCCACCGCACCCAGCCCAAAAGCTTTGTGTTTTTACGGATATTAACCATGTTTCCTGTTTAAAAAGAAAAAACAGCAACAATGTAGGAGAATAAGAGAAACATTTTTCCAAAAAAGAAATCATTTTGATTATTTTATCTCATTGGAATGTTGGATAATATAGTCTGCTTCATTAATCATCAAGCATGCTGTGGATTTCCCACTTTTATAGGATCTGTATCTCAGTTCAGGTAATACTGGTAATTTTTATACAGTATTTGAAGATGAAAAATATAGGCCAAAATGACAGACCTTGCATAGAAGCTGGTTAATGAAGACAGCTCTGGAGGAACACATGGATACACACAGAGAGACACACACATATATATAAAGTATACACACATATGATTTTTAAAGTTTTAAGGGTTTTAAAGCAAAAGCCAGCCCCTCCACTCTCCCAGAGCGGGCGGCCCCTCCCCTCTCTCAGAGTGGGTGGGGACAGCGGTTGCATGGGCAGCTTTCCTGATGAGCCACAGGTCCCTCTGGACACACTGCCGCCTGGCCACGCCCCCTTTCCCTGTCATCTTTCTCGTTGACCAATGGGCTTGAAGCATTAAGGCCACGCCCCTATTCTGCATTCTACTGTGGCCCTGGTTACGCTGCCTCTGGGTCAGTTACGCAGCTGTCTTCCAGGTGACTGGACGTGTTGATCAGCGCTCGCTGGGATTTGGCTGACGTGGCCCCAGCCCCGCCTCCCTCCCCACCCCACAATGGCAGAAGAAACTGGACAGAGTAAATTAGCTGCAGCCAAGAAAAAGGTAAAGACGTACCGGGTCATGGCCCGCTAACCCAGCCACAGATCCCCTCCGACGACAAGACCGCTGCCACAGTCCATACTACTCCTGACGCACACCGGACTTTGCCCCCCAACCCCGGCGCTTCTGGGCTCCCCCTACAAAAGTCTTGTCAGTCAGCCCTGCCCCTTCAGCAAACAGCTCAGTCCCTGCCCTCGCCGATCACCCCGGGGTGACGTTGGGCGGGTGACTCCTGGGGCGCCCCACTCCATTACTGGGCCCTCACCTCTTGCCGCCCCAAGTTGGACCTCCCTGGGCTCTTTGGGCTCGCATATCCAAGGACCTGGGCCCCCCAGCCCCAGGCCCCGCCCTCTCCAGTTGTCCCTGGGTGACTTTGGGCTGGTGACTCCTGGGGCTCCCTGCTGCAGACTCTGCCCTCCCCTCCTGCTGCCTCAAGGTCGACCTCCCTGAGCTCTTTGTGCTGGCGTCTCCAAGGACCTGGGTCACAACCCTGTGTTTCCCTCCCGCGTTGTGGAGTGGAGACTCGGACATCGCGCTGATGTGGTCCCTCCCCCGCACTAGGAGGAGTGGAATGTAGTGATGTCACAGTCTGCCTACTAACTGTCATTACTGGAAGACTGGCCCTGGTCTTATGACCCAGTCCCCTAAACGTTGTCACCCCGTTTCTGGTTCTTCTGGTCACAGCAGAAATTTCCAGCTGGAAGGGAAATGGAGACTATGGGACCTGGGAGCAAGAGGTTTCAGGCTGCCTTACTCCCTTACCATAGACATTGACAGTGGGAAAAGCCTACACTTCCCCCGTGAGCTCAAAACGTTGACAGTGTCTCTGGGTGGCGATGGGAGAATGGGTTTGGTTTGGTTTTTCTCCCAAGCTTCTACTTTCCAAAGAGATTTTAACATTTTTTTCCGAGTTCTCCACCTCATATTCTAATTCTCCATGGTTCTGGGACCAGACTTCAGTCTGGGACCTTCAGTCAGTGGTCTCTGAAGTGAGATTTCCTCATCTTCTGTGGAATAGATCTTGGGAGACTGAACTTGACAGTTTGAATCTTCCTCATATTATCTCAAGCTGGGGTGCTTTGAGTACCACAGGATAAATGTGGGACATCTTTCTGAAGCATCAGTTTCCTTTGATTCTCTTGAGATATCTTGAGATAAGAGAAAAAACATGAATGTACTTAGGGATGGCAGTCCCATAGGTTTCTAAGAGTATACCAGACTTCTCTCTGAAATGAGGCTTGGGTTGTCCTCTTTCTGATAAATTCCCAGATTTCACAGAAAGGCTGCCTTCTGCCATGAGGACACATTGATATAAAAGTTTGAGAGGTACTGGTGCACTTCTTCCCAATAACAGACGTGTGAAGATGTACGACTCTAAACCACATGACATACAGCTCCTGCCTACTTAATGTTTACTTTTCTACCTCTGCCTCTGGGTTTGGTGCCTGGCAAAACCCCAGAGCTTAGAGTGGGAAGACTGAGTTTCCAAGTTCCAGTATCGCTTTTTTCTTTTTTCTTTTTTTCTAGCCATGATGTCGATCCCTCTCAGTCCCTAAATGATTGTGACACCTTATAGAGTTGTTGGTGTCATTAAATCAGATGGTATATAAGAGTATTTTATAAAAACTATAAAGGAGGATGTGGCTGTAGGGGCTGATAGTTCTCATGAGTATTACTGCTCTTCTTTCCCACAGTTCAAAGAATATTGGCAGAGAAACCGCCCTGGTGTTCCAGCAGCAGCGAAGAGGAACACGAAAGCAAATGGCAGTAGCCCTGAGACGGCCGCTTCTGGTGGTTGCCACTCATCTGAAGCTGTGAGTCTTGCCTGGACAGGCTTTTGGGGACAGGGGGCCCAAGGAGCAGTAGAGGGCAATCGTTAAGATTGTGGATGGACTGTTGGGTACTGGTGAAGGATTCTGGATTTGGCCGGGCACAGTGGCTCACGCCTGTAATCCCCACACTTCGGGAGACCGAGGCAGGTGGATCACAAGGTCAGGAGATCGAGACCATCCAGGCAAACACGGTGAAATACTAAAAAATACAAAAAAAAAAGCCGGGCGTGGTGGCGGGCGCCTGCAGTCCCAGCTGCTCCGGAGTCTGAGGGAGGAGAATGGCGTGAACCTAGGAGGCGGAGCTTGCAGTGAGCCAAGATCACGCCACTGCACTCCAGCCTGGAAGGCAGAGAGAGACTCCGTTTCAAAAAAGAAAAGAATTCTGGGTTTGAATCCTGCCTCTCCGTCTGCTAGGGATATGATTTAGGGCAAGTTGCTTGAGCTCTTTGGGCCTCTGTTTTCACGTCTGTATGATAGAGGTGGTATTGTTTGACTTGTATTTGTGAAGTTTCAATGAGATTGATAATTGTCGATTTTATGTTAATCCCTAGTACATGGCCTGCTGTCAACACCCAGGACACCCAGGATATGGTCTTTGCTGTTTGATTTTCCTCATCCCCAGTCTCAAGGGGAAGCCAGGACAATGAGAACAGCCACTTCCCATCAGGAGTCACTGCAAGGCCCCCAGGGTGGGATGGTGGGGAGATAAGAACCGTGAGAGAAGTTGGCACAAAGGAGTTATGGGACAAAGGGTCCAAGATAGGCAGAAAAGAAAATGTTGCCAGTTGATGGGGAAGAAAGGAAGTCGGAGGGCTCAGACACTGAGGGGGACAGAACATCTCCATGTGCAGTCTCATCTCTTATAGTCAGCAACAGGTATCCACGGGGAGGGCCCTACATCATCTGCTACCCTGAAGGATCTGGAGGTAGGAGGCTCTGGGCGGAGGTGCAGTGACCCCGCAGGCCAGCCCTCCAACCTCCTCCCGCAGCGGGGACTGGGTGCCCCTCTGCCAGCTGAGACAGCCCACACACAACCCAGCCCTAATGATCGTTCTCTCTACCTCTCCCCCAAGTCCTCCTCCGCCTCCTCCTCTCTGCATGCGCGTCAGAGCCCGTGCCAAGAACAAGCAGCAGTCCTGAACTCGAGGTCCATAAAAATCAGTCGACTGAATGACACCATCAAATCTTTGGTAAGAGTCCAGTGGGGTTCCCTGATTCCACGCTGCCAATCCTGGGCTCCGGTTTCCTCTTGGGGCCCTGAAGAAGGGGGCTGGGGGCCCCTGGTGCCAAGGGCAGATAGGGAGCTGGGGCGCCCAGGCCTCACCTGGCGGGACCCCAGAGCATGCAGCATGGCTCTTCTTTTGCTGCCCTCTTTGCCGACTCTCTCCTCTCCAGGCACCCCTACTCGAGTCCTTGCTACACACGCCCTGGGGTTGTTGCCTCTTGGGGAAGTGCTGGCCTGACTGGTTGTCAGGGGCCCCGTATTTCTGCCATGACTCAGTCCCTAATTTGCTCTTTGATTCTGGACAAGCCACCTCTCCTTTTTGGGCTCGTGTTTCCAGAGGAGGTAGTGAGTATCAAAGGTCTGTGTTAGCTCTGAGAGTCTGAGATTTAAAGGCCCCCTAGAATGGAAAGCTCAGGGCCAAGGGCTCTTGTCTGTTCTTTTCCATCCTATATCGGCTGTGAAGAACCATCCCTGGCCCGTACGTGCTCAGTAAATGTCTATTGAATGAACACACTTTTCTAAATCACAAGCTGGCAGAAGGGGGAGCCTTTCTCAAACTCCATCTCTAGAGGTTTATGTTACTGTCCTCTCAAGAGATTCCTGATTCAGACTTTGAGTTGTGAGGCTGTGGCTGAAAACCAACAAAGACCCAAATCCTCTGTCCTTGGGAGCTTGGGAACAGTTCCTGTTCCCATTGGGTCTGAGAACTTTGCCTTTAAAATCCATTCCTGGCCCCTGCCTGCCGCTTCCTGTCTGGGGAATAGAGTTGAGGGGGCCACCCTCCATCACTTTAATTTGACTCTCCCCACAGAAACAACAGAAGAAACAAGTGGAACATCAGCTGGAAGAAGTAACGTGATTTCTTTGTTTGCTGGCGACATGACTGCTGGGTTTGGGGGACACTCAGATGTAGAGGCCCCAGTCTCGTCTCACCCACTCCCAGCCTGGGGAAGGAGGCTCACCCCTCAGATTCCACCCCATCCCCACAGGGTCCCTGATAACCTGGTCCCATGGGTGGGCCTGTCCTGGGGCATTGGTGGCATTCTGGGGGCATATCTCTTGCTGTGCCTTCTCTGCCTCCCCCTGGTAAGAGCTCTGTCTTCCTCTTCCTATAGGAAAAGAAAGCAAACAATGAGAAACAGAAAGCTGAAAGGGAGCTAGAGGTGAGTGGAGGGTGTGAAGTTTCCTCCTGTCCTCCGGAGAATGTTTCTTTCCTTCTATTTCAGCACTTGCTTGGCTTTTCTCCCAAAGGGTCAAATCCAGAGATTGAACACAGAGAAAAAGAAACTAAATACGGACCTGTATCACATGAAACATTCTCTCAGATACTTTGAAGGTGGGAATCTGGGCACCCTGTCATCCTTCAACCTGGCACTTTGACAGGTCTGTAAGGCGGAGTCCTTTGAGCCCCATGTCAACTCTGTCATTACAGAAGAGTCCAAGGATCTGGCCGGCCGCCTGCAACGTTCATCGCAGCGTATAGGAGAGTTAGAGTGGTCTCTCTGTGCTGTCGCCGCCACACAGAAGAAGAAGCCGGATGGGGTGAGTCCAGTCACCTGCCCTGTCCCCTGGGAGCCCGGCTTCACAGATGGAGGAGTGAGCCTAAAGGTCCCTTCTGCAGGATGGAGTGTCCTGCCCAGAAGGCAGCATGGCCATTTCTCACTGCTTTTGTGTATGGTTGTTAGAGGCAGCCTGAGGCTGAGTCAGCTGCTGTGGGTGAGTTGGGGGGCGCGGTGGGGAGCGAGCACTGGATGCAGAGCTTGGAGGCCAAGTGCCTGCCCTGCCCTTACCTGGCTGTGGTCTTGGCCAAGTCCTAGGTGGGGTGTGGGGTATTGGGTACTTGTACTGTGAAGGTACAGAAGGGTACCTTTAGTATGTTCCCATTTCTGTAGAGAGAGGAAACGTGTGTGTGTGTGTGTGTGTGTACATAGTATGATAATATACATAAAACATGTCTGCAAGTGTTCGTAAACAACTCAGGAGAGAGCAGCAGGGTGGCTGGGAGATACTTCCCTTTGATACCTTCCGAGTTTTGGACTATGTGAATGTATCATCTTTTCAAAAAGTGAACAAAAGATTAATTTTCCCCTTCCTAACCGTGCCCCCACCCCCAGCAGAAAAATGGGCTTAGAGAATCTGATAGACCTGGGTGTTCAAATCCTAGCTCTGCCTAAGTGATCTTAGGCAAGCACTTAACCTCAAACACTCCATGTTTTTTCATCTACCCAAGAGAGGGCATCATAGTAACTGTCTCCTCTGGTGGTTGCGAGGATTAAATGGGATTGCTAGCAAGGTACCTGCTGAAGCACTCCACAAAGGTTCAAACAGTGGGAGTAATAACAATAGCAATATTATCTGATCTCTCTCCTTGTCCCTTCCAACTTCACTGAGTTTTTTTCAAAACCAGACCACGGGCTTGGAAATGCCTTGATCTTTACTGACCGAGTTGTATATTGAGCCTAGCCCTAGCCCTTTTAAGGGGCACTGTGTGGAATGGCCCAGGCTCCCCAGATCGAAACTTCTCACTCTTCACCATCCAGTTCTCGAGCCGCAGTAAAGCACTTCTCAAGCGGCAGTTAGAGCAGTCCATACGGGAGCAGATACTGCTGAAAGGACACGTGACACAGGTGAGGTTTTGCAGAGGGAGGGATGTGGAAGGAAGATGACCCCAGGTGGCCAGGAGCAGGTGAGGACCAGTGACGGCCCTTCCTAACTTGTGTGGCCATTCTTGCAGTTGAAGGAGTCGCTTAAAGAAGTCCAGCTGGAGAGAGATCAATATGCTGAACAAATAAAAGGAGAGAGGGCCCAGTGGCAGCAGAGGATGAGGAAAATGTCGCAGGAGGTGAGATCTGACCCTTCAGCCTCCCGCCCCACAAACCCCCCCCCAACAACTTAAGATAGGTCACTGGATCTTTCTGGGCCTCTTTAAAATGGGAATAGTGCAGCCAGAGGTGGTCCTGGGTCTGGGCTTTGTGGAGGTGGGGGCAGAGAGGGAGATGGGAGCCTGTCCAGCCACCAGCCCCTCTCTCCAGGGCCCTTTCCCCCTGTGCTTTGGGCAGGTTTGCACATTGAAGGAGGAGAAGAAGCATGATACGCATCGGGTAGAGGAGCTGGAGAGGAGCTTGTCCAGACTCAAAAACCAGATGGGTAAGATGGGGCTGGCATGACCTGGGAGCAGGACTGGCATCAGAGGGCTGTGGGGGTGGCTTAGAATGCCCCAGGGAGGTGGGTGGATGGCAGGGCTTTGAGGCAGAGGGTAAGAGGTCTGTGCCAGGAGACAAGTCTTGTCATCTCCCTGAGCCTCAGTGTCCCCATGAGCAAAGAGGGCCCGTTGTCAGCCACCCGCAGTGCTCTCTGTCTGAAAGTGGTTTGGAAGACTGGCTACCATCCGGGTGCGAGGGATCGTTAGCAGTGAGGCCAAGTTTGGGAGCCTGAGAGGAGCTGTGCGCCAACAGGAGGGTGTTTTGTTGTTTTTTCTGTTTTGATTTTTGTTTTGAGAATCCAGAGGCCCTTATGATCTGCTTCCTTTCTCAGCTGAGCCACTGCCCCCGGATGCCCCAGCAGTGTCCTCTGAGGTGGAGCTGCAAGACCTGAGGAAGGAGCTGGAGAGAGTGGCAGGAGAGCTCCAGGCTCAGGTGGAAAACAATCAGTGCATCAGTCTCCTGAACCGTGGGCAAAAGGAGAGGCTTCGCGAGCAGGAGGAGAGGCTTCAGGAGCAGCAGGAGAGGCTTCGGGAACGGGAGAAGAGGCTTCAGCAGCTGGCCGAGCCACAGAGCGACTTGGAGGAGCTGGTGGGTTGCCCCACCTGGGGAGCCTGCCCTCCTCCCTAGCCCTCCAGGCCTTTGTTTCCCCACCTGTAAAATGGGGCAATGTAGCCCTCACATGAAATATTACTTCCAAAGGCACCTGTGAGCCAGAGCTTTGCTCTGGTGGCTGTGGGAGAGAGGAGAGTATTTTTCTAACTTGGCTCCACCCTTCCCAGTGCCATGGGAGGCAGACACCAAGTTCTGGGGTCTCCAGCTGCAGTGGGTGGCTGCTGATTGCTTCTCTCTGTCCAGAAGCACGAGAACAAGAGCGCACTGCAGTTGGAGCAGCAAGTAAAGGAGCTGCAGGAGAAGCTGGGCCAGGTGATGGAGACGCTCACCTCGGCCGAGAAGGAGCCAGAGGCAGCAGTCCCAGCCTCAGGGACTGGGGGCGAGTCTGTGAGTGGGGAGACCCTCCGGGCCCTGCAGGAAGTCATGGAGAAGCTGGAGGGGAGTGAGTCCTAGCATGGGCCAAGAAGGGCAGGGCTGGGGCAGGTCGCTGCTGAGATGTGACCCCATTATTTTGGCTCCAGAGCGGCCTTATGGACCTCCTGGAGGAGAAGGCGGACCTGAGGGAGCATGTGGAGAAACTGGAACTTGGATTCATCCAGTACCGGAGAGAGAGATGCCATCAGTGAGTGGGAGGCCAGGGCACGGCACGGGGAGCTGCAGGGCTGTGGGAGGGGCCCCAGCGTCTGAGCCCTGTCCTCCCGCAGGAACGTACATCGCCTTCTAACAGAGCCAGGGGACAGTGCCAAAGATGCGTCACCGGGAGGAGGCCATCATCAGGCTGGCCCAGGACAAGGAGGAGAGGAAGGTAGGGTGTGCAACATCCCTGTGGGGGTGGGGGTGGGGTGGGGGTGTGGGTGGGGTGGGCATGAGGGTGGGCGCCAGCAGCGGCCTGACAGCTGAGCACCCGTCCCTTCAGGTGAAGCTGCTGGAGCTGCAGGAGATGGTGTTGCGGCTTGTGGCAGCTACAACGAGGGGCACGGCAAATTCCTGGCCGCTGCCCAGAACCCTGCTGCTGAACCCAGTCCAGGAGCCCCAGCCCCCCAGGAGCTCGGGGCTGCCGACAAGCATGGTGGTGAGTAGAGCCCCCAGGCGGGGTGAGCAGGCAGGAGCGGGGGGCGGCTAGCACTCCACTCAGATCCCCGCCTCTCTCTCTCCAAAGATCTTTGTGAGGCGAGCCTCACCAACAGCGTGGAGCCTGCACAAGGAGAAGCCAGGGAGGGTTCTTCCCAGGACAACCCTACTGCACAGCCAATCGTGCAGCTCCTTGGTGAGATGCAGGACCACCAGGAGCACCCAGGCTTGGGCAGCAACTGCTGTGTGCCATGCTTTTGCTGGGCTTGGCTGCCGAGAAGAAGGAGATAAACACCACCATCATCAAAGAGCTGCTCAAGAAATTTTTAAAAACGAAACAAAGTTATGGGGTTAATCTCCTACACAATTCATTTACTTCATTTGAATGTTAGAGCTACTCATGATTATTTGTGTTTCTAATTTATAGTTTAAGTTTATTTGTAAAAAGTTAAAAGAGAGTGGGTCTCTGTGGCTCTCACTGATGTTCACTCTGGCATCCTTCAGCATTTTTCTTTTTTCATTTCATAATTGTAGGTCATTAGCATGCATATCGAGTTTGCCCTTACGTGGTGGGAGTTCAAACACACAAAGACCCACTCTTTGCACAAAACTGTTCTCGCTGGTTTGGAATAGGCTCCCGTGCTTTTCTAATGTTATTGCAGCATGGATGTCCATTACAGAATTCAGATAAAATTTGCTAATGTTCTGCTATGATGTTTGATCTCATCTTAATCACAGTGAGCTCTTCTATAGCTCAATATGCGGTTTGCCCTCAAGTGTGCACTGTTTATTACTTTGTAATATGCCACTGTGAGTACTGACATTTAGAGCTGTTTAAAGGCCGAGAACTGGAAACAGCCTTTCCTCCATTTTCTGTGTATTGGTGATGGGAGTGATAACCTTTTGGGGGAGCTTTCTAAATCTCACAGAAGAGGAAAGTGGCCTGCTCTGGCAGGTATGTGCAGGATACAGTGTGTTTCATCTGTTCCGGTGCCAAGAATGAGCAGTGTACTGTGGCAGTTCCCTTTGGATTTGTATGTGCTCTGGGCTCATGAAGATATTGCATCGTGAGCTGCAGCAGTTGCACTCTTTTTCAATGACCTAAAAAGGGCTTATTTCCGAGGAATGAAAGGCTGCCATCATTGGCTGTGGGTGTGAAAAACCTTTCCTAGCTTAGAGCATTTGTATCTACAATACATTTTAAAGTCAGAGTTCGTGTTCCCTGTTTTAATCACATGACTACCTGTCCCAGTACACGAAAGGGCGCTGGTTGGCATTCTTCTTAATGTATTTAGTGAAGATCATAAGAAATCCTTTAAGAGTTTAAATGTCTCTGAAACAGGCATACAGGCTCTAGTCAAGAATGAATTAGAGTGAAGGAAAGCTGTGTGACACCTGGCATTCCTCTCTGTTCATGGAGCTTCTTTGAGGCTTGAAGTTTGATTTTACTATCTAGACCTCTCTGGCTAATACCTATTCTTCAACCACCTCGGTTACTCTGACATAGGAATTTACTTCTTTTCCTTGAGTGGAAAACACTTTAGAAAGTAATAACAAACATTATTATAAACTAATATATGTGAGAGTACTTAGTTGAAACAAAAAGGAATTTTAGTAGACAGTATTATATTATCTTTGAAAATCAAGGAGAAGTTTATGCAACTTAAAATGTTTACACACTGTGGTGCAATCTACTGTTTGTGAATGTCTGTATTATCAGGAAACATGTCTATACGATCGCAGAGTTGTATTTCCTCACAAACTTCTTTACGAAGAGTGAAATACGTTTTTGTACCTCTCATTTTCAGTCAGGGACATACTTTGTGCAATATTTCTGTGATTGTGCCTATGCATGATGAATGAATGCATTTCAATCATACATTGCCTAAATCATAACTTGATGATGCTTGGGAAAGAATCAACAGTTAAAACTTCATGAAGTTCTAATGTCTGTGTTCCAAAACACATCACATTATTAGGTTGTAGGGAGATATGTAGGTGTGCTCCCTGGGGTGGGGAGTTTTCTAGTTACTAGACCATCTCCATTTTTAGCACTTGGCAGCCTCATGATCCTTTTATAAATGTGAGATTAACAGGAGAGCAGCAATACGATTTTGCCAATGGAATAACAGATTTGCCGGCATTCACTGAAAGAGGGCAGATATTGGGTCCTTGTAACTTCAACTGACTCTTCCAAATTGTATGAATTTATCAATGTATTACACAAATCCAGTTTCAGAATGATAAAAAATGTTAGACCAAATAATGCGGCTAATTAACAGTCGTATGATTTCTAGCCCATGGGTTTAAAACTGTATCTTAAAGAGTCATTTTAAAATAATATAAATATTAAAAAATGTAACTGCTATCTTAATGTTCTGAAATAAAACATTTTAAAATATAAATCCTGTAGTTTAAAAGGAAGAAATGGTGGGAAGGAAAAGTAGAGAAAGAAATGCCAATTACAGGCCAAAGCGTTATTTGCCAAGTTTTCTTAGAATGAATTTTACCAATGTATGAGTTCTTGTTAACAGAATGTGTAACGGAAATACTGAAAGACTTTTGCTTAAAGTGGCATTATTGACTGCTGATGTGATGCTACTGTAATGCAATAAATTTTTAAACTGTTGCAAAGTGCTGTTTTTGCCTTAAAATTTTATTTTGCGTGTCTTGAAAACTATAGTATTAAAAGTATTGATATTGTGCAAATACTGGGCATGCTTGGCATGAGATAATCTGTTTCATTGTTACAAAAATGTAGTATAACTATGCAAGTGTTTATTGAAAGAACACAACATAAAAAAGGTATGGGATTAAAAAAGTTTTGGGGTGAAAAAGTTATCGGATAAAAATGTAAAAAAGTTGTGGCAAAAAGTAGAAAAAAGTTTTCTGAAAAGTTATCATGGAGCACGGTGGCTCAAGCCTGTAATCCCAGCACTTTGGGAGGCCGAGGTGGGCAGATCACCTGAGGTCAGGAGTTCGAGACCAGCCTGGCCAACAGAGTGAAACTCCGTCTCTACTAAAAATACAAAAATTAGCTGGGTGTGGTGGTGGGTGCCTGTAATTCCAGCTACTCAGGAGGCCGAGGCAGGAGAATTGCTTGAACCTGGGAGGTGGAGGTTGCAATGAGTCAAGAGTGCCACTGCACTCCAGCCTGGGTGACAAAAGCAAAAACTCCGTCTCAAAAAAGAAAAAAAAAAGTAAAGGAGTAAAGAATGGCTACTCCAAAGACAAAGCAGCGGCATCAGCTGCTCAACTGATTATACTTAGTTACTTCTTGATTATATGCTAAAAAGAAAAGTGGGGTACAATGATCTTCCAACCAGGAGTTTCAACATGTGGTCTCTGGGCAAGATGAAACAGCAGACAGTTGGCTCTGAGTAACAGAAAAGATAGAAAAGAGAAAGGAGAAAAGGGGAGAAAAGCATTGTCTGTGGCAGGGTACATAGCTCCGGGAGGCCAGAGAAAGACCCACCCATTGCAGCGACGCTGAATCAAAAGTTCAGGCACCTGCTTTTCAGTAATGAAGGGAGCTCTTCCAACAGTCCCATCAGCTCTCATCTTTCCCACTTTAGGGAGAAAAATGCTCCCACATCTGGTGATCCTGTACATGCCTAATCCTGTCACCCACAGCCATCAGCAAACAGTGCAAGGCAGATTAATCCAAAGAGAATAGCAGATAACATCCCATAATTCCAAATCCATTTTTAACCAAGAGGGACTTTACTGAGAGGGACCTCTAACCTGTAACCCCCTAAATCTTAGGAAGGGCTCTAACCTTCCTAAGTTGGGCCTCTAACCCAAGTTTGGTCAAGTGTCCTTGCCTTTTATTAAGGAGGCCTTTAACTCTGTCTTAGTAGGGACTCTAACCCTCCTAAGTTGGGCCTCTAACCCAATTCCATCCTTTACCCACGTTAAATGTACCCCTCCTCTTACTCAAAGTCGGCCAATTGGTATTGCTGTTTTCTTTGGGTCAGAGGTTTCCTCAATATTGTCCCTTCGTGGTTCAACCAGAAGACATTACCAGAAAGGGATCCTGATCCAGACCCCAAGAGAGGGCTTTTGGATCTCACCCAAGCAAGAATTCAGGGTGAGTCCATAGACTAAAGTGAAAGCAAGTTTATTAAGAAAGTAAAGGAATAAAGAATGGCTACTCCATAGACAGAGCAGCAGCATGGGCTGCTCAACTGATTATACTTATAGTTACTTCTTGATTATATGTTAAACAAGGGGTGGATTATAAGTTTTCTGGGGAAGAGGTGGGCAATTTGTGGAAATGAGGGTTCCTCCCGTTTTTAGACCATATAGGATAACTTCCTGACATTGCCATGGCATCTGTAAACTGTCATGTGCTGGTGAGTGTCTCTTTTAGCATGCTAATCCATTGTAATTAGTGTATAATGAGCAGTGAGGACAACCAGAGGTCACTTTTGTTGCCACCTTGGTTTTGGTGGGTTTTGTCCATCTTCTTTACCATACCCTTTTGTCAACAAGGTCTTTGTGACGTGTACCTTATGCTGACCTTCTATCTCATCCTGTGACCAAGAATACCTATCCACCTGGGAATGCAGCCCAGTAGTTGTTAGCCTTATTTTACCCAGCCCCTATTCAAGATGGAGTCACTCTGGTTCAAACTCCTCTGATAATACAATGAAGTAACAACCAGGGAAGGAGTGGCAAGAAGCAAGGACATTGCAGGACACACAAAAGATGAGGAAAACAAATGATAAAAGAATAGAGATTATTGATGAAAAGGTCAAACTCTATAAAATATTTGAAGAGATTTATTCTGAGCCAGATATGAGTGACCAATGGCCCATGAGACAGCCGCAGTAGATCTAGAGAACATGTGCCCAGGATAGTTGGGCTACAGCTGGGTTTTATACATTTCAGGGAAACATAAGACATCACTCAATACATGTAAGATGTACATTGGTTCGGTCAGGAAAGGTGGGACAACTAGAGGGGGCGAGGGGTGGTTCCTTCCAGGTCATAGGTGGATTCAAAGATTTTCTAACTGACAATTGGTTGAAAGAAGTTTTTTGGAGTGTGTGTTTTTTAAGCTATCTTCTACCAAAAAGAGAAAGAGTTTATTATCTAAAGACCTGGAATCAGTACAAAGGAAGGTCTGGGTTAAGATAAGGGGTTGTGGAGATCAAGGCTTTATCATGCATATGAAACCTTCAGGTAGCAGGCCTCAGAGCTCTTATTGTCTCTCGTGTCCATATGAAGAGACCACCAAACAGGCTTTGTGTGAGCAACAAGGCTGTTTATTTCACCTGGGTGTAGGCGGGCTGAGTCCAAAAAAGTAGTCAGCAAAGGGTGGTGGATTATCATTAGTTCTTACAGGTTTTGGGATAGGCGGTGGAGTTAGGAGCAATGTTTTGCGGGCAGGGGTGGATCTCACAAAGTACATTCTTAAGGGTGGGGAGAATTACAAAGAACCTTCTCAAGGGTGGGGGAGACTACAAAGTACATTGATCAGTTAGGGTGGGGCAGAAACAAATCACAATGATGGAATGTCATCAGTTAAGGCTATTTTCACTTCTTTTGTGGATCTTCAGTTGCTTCAGGCCATCTGGATGTATACGTGCAGGTCACTGGGGATATGATGGCTTAGCTTGGGCTCACAGGCCTGACATTCCTGTCTTCTTATATTAATAAGAAAAATAAAATGGAATAGTGGTAAAGCGTTGGGGCGGCGAAATTTTTTGGGGGTGGTATGGAGAGAGAATGGGCGATGTTTCTCAGGGCTGCTTCAAGCAGGATTAGGGGTGGTGTGGGAACCTAGAGTGGGAGAGATTAAGCTGAAGGAAGATTTTGGGGTAAGGGGTGATATTGTGGGGTTGTTAGAAGGAGCATTTGCCGTATAGAATTATTGATGATGGCCTGGATGCAGTTTTGTATGAATTGAGAAACTAAAAGAAAGACACAAGGTCTGAATAAGAGAAGGAGAAAAACAGGTATTAAAGGACTAAGAATTGGTAGTACCCAGGATGTCCAATTAGAGAGTGTCCAAGGAGGTTCAACGTTATTGTTTGCTTGGTTGGCGAGTTTAGACCCTGTGGGAAAGGCCTCTACCCATCCAGTCAAAGTGTCTACCCAGACCAAAAGGTATTTTAGTTTCCTGACTCAGGGCATGTGAGTAAAGTCAATTTGCCAGTCCTGGGCAGGTGCAAATCCTGGAGCTTGATGTGTAGGGAAGGGAGGGGGCATGAATAATCCCTGAGGGGTAGTAGAATAGCAGATGGAACACTGAGAAGTGATTTCCTTTAGGATAGATTTCCACGATGGAAAGGAAATGAGAAGTTCTAAGAGGTGGGCTAGCGGCTTGTAACCTACATGAAAGAGGTTATGAAATGACCATAGAATAGAATGGGCCTGTGAGGCTGGAAAGAGATATTTTCCTTGGTCCAAGAACCATTTGCCTTGTGTGGGAAGAGACTGATAGGTGGAAGTTTCAGTGGGGGAGTAGGTGGGAGTGACTGATGAGGAGAAAAGCTGCCATGAGGGATAGAAGTTGGAATGCTAGCTGTTTTTTTAGCTACCTTATCAGCATAAGTGTTGTTCTGAGCGATGGGATCTGATGCCTTTTGATGGCCCTTGCAGTATATGACTCCAGCTTCCTTTGGAAGTAAAGCGGCCTTGAGAAGAGTTTTTATTAAAGAGGCATTAATGATGGAGGACCCTTGCATAGTGAGGAAACCTTTCAGCCCATAAAACAGCATGGTGGTGCAGGATATGGGGTCAGTATAAATATTGACATGTAGTCCCTTTGCAAGAGTGAGGGCTTGAGTTAAGTCAATGAGTTTGGCTTGCTGAGAGGTAGTGGAGGGGGACAGAGCAGTAGCCTCAATGATAGATGTGGAAGATAGTATAGCATAGCCTGCCTTTGCTGGTGTGTGGCAATTAGGCCTGGTGGAACTGCTATCAATAAACCAAGTGTGATCAGGGTGAGGAACAGGAAAGAAGGAAATATGGGGAAATGGAGTGAATGCCAAGTGTATCAGAGAAATACAGTCATGGGGGTCAGGTGTGATATCAGGAATAATGTGGGAGGCTGGATTGATGTCTGGGCCAGGAACAATGGTAACTGTGGGAAACTCAACAAAGAGTGAGTACAGCTGAAGGAGCCGGGGAGCAGAAAGTATATGTGTCAGGTGTGAGGAAGAAAATAGATTTTGGAAGTTACGAGAACTGTAGAGAGTGAGTTGAGCATAGTTTGTGAGTATGAGGGCCTCTAAAAGCATTAGGACGGCGGTGGCCACAGCACGGAGACATGATGGCCAGCCTAAAACAGTAAGGTCAAGTTGTTTGGACAAAAAAGCTACAGGGTGCGGTCCTGGTGCTTGTGTAAAAATTCCAACTGCACAGCCCTGCACTTCAGCTGTGTGTAATGAAATGGTTGGGATGAATCAGGGAGAGCTAGTGTTGGGGCAGTCTCTAAAGCTGTCTTCAAGGAATGGAAAGAGGAGTGGGGAAAAGATTTAGGATCTGTGGGGTCAGCTAGGTTTGCTTTTGTGAGTTTATATAATGGTTTAGTCAGGATGGTAAAACTAGGTATCCAAAGGTGGAAGTACCTAACCATGCCTAGGAAGGAAAGGAGTTGTTTTGTAGAAGGGGTTGTGGTTTGGGAGATTAGTCGGACATGATCAGCAGGGAGAGCACGTGTGTTTTTGTGAGAATTATGCCGAGATAGGTAACAGATGAGGAAGAAATTTGGGCTTGACTGAAGTAATGGGGGCTGTCTGTGAAGCTTTGCGGCGGTACAGCCCAGGTAATTTGCTGAGCCTGATGGGTGTCAGGGTCAGTCCAAGTGAAAGCGAAGAGAGGCTGGGATGAAGGGTGCAAAGGAATAGTAAAGAAAGCACGTTTGAGATCCAGAACAGAATAATGGATTGTGGAAGGAGGTATTGAGGATAGGAGAGTATATGGGTTTGGCACCATGGGGTGGATAGGCAAAACAATTTGGTTGATAAGGTGCAGATCCTGAACTAACCTGTAAGGCTTGTCTGGTTTTAGGACAGGTAAAATGGGGGAACTGTAAGGAGAGTTTATAAGCTTTAAAACACCATGCTGTAACAGGCGAGTGATAACAGGCTTTAATCTTTTTAAAGGGTGCTGCGGGATGGGATATTGGCATTGAGCAGGGTAAGGGTGATTAGGTTTTAATGGGATGGTAAGGGGAGTGTGATCGGTTGCCAGGGAGGGAGTAGAGGTATCCCATATTTGTGGATTAAGGTGGGGAGATAACAAGGGGAGGACATGAAGGAGGCTTTGAACTGGGGAAAAGGGCAGCAATGAGGTGTGGCTGTAGCCTAGGAATAGTCAGGGAAGCAGATAATTTAGTTAAAATGTCTCGACCTAATAAGGGAGCTGGGAAGGTGGGGATAACTAAAATCAGTGCATAAAAGAATGTTGTCCAAGTTGACACCAGAGTTGGGAAGTTTTAAGAGGTTTAGAAGCCTGGCTGTCAATACCCACAACTGTTACGGAGGCAAGGGAAACAGGCCTTTGAAAAGAAAGTAATATGGAGTTGGTAGCCTCCGTATTGATTAAGAAGGGGACGGACTTACCCTCCACTGTAAGAGTTACCCAAAGCATCTGTGATGGTCCAGGGGGCTTCCAAGGCAATTGGGCAGCGTCAGTCTTCAGCTGCTAAGCCGAGAAGATCTGGGAAGGAGTCAGTCAGAGAGCCTTATGCCAGAGTTCCAGGGGCTCTGGGAGTGGCTGCCAGGTGAGTTGGACAGTCCAATTTCCAGTGGGGTTCTGCACAGATGGGACAGAGCTTAGGAGGAATCCTGGGCTGTGGGCATTCCTTGGCCCAGTGGCCAGATTTCCAGCACTTGAAGCAAGATCCTGGGGGAGGCGGTCCTGGAGGAACATCTGGCCACTGCAGTTCAGGCGTTCTGAAGTTCTTGTGTGCTGGACATGTGGCTGGGGTTTCTCTCACAGTGGAGGCAAGTAATTGCAACTCAGAAATATGTTGCCTCTACTCTATTATTGTACACCTTGAAGGCAAGGTTAATTGAGTGCTGTTGTGGGGTTTGAGGGCTGGAATCCAATTTTTGGAGCTTTTTTTAATGCCGGGAGGGGATTGGGTAATAAAATGCAAAGAGAATAAGATGGCCTTCTGGCCCCTCTGGGTCTAGGGCGGTAAAGCGTCTAAGGGTTGTTGCCAAACGGGCCATGAACTGGGCTGGGTTTTTATATGTGATGAAAAAGAGCCCAAATGCTAGCTGATTTGGGAGAGGTCAGATAAAGAAAAAAGGAGCATTAACCTTGACTATGCCTTTAGCTCCAGCCACCTCTTTAAGAGGAAATTGTTGGGCAGGTGTGGGAGGGCTAGTTGCGGAACAAAACTGTAAGCCAGACCAGGTGTGAGGAGGGCAGGTGATAGGAGGATTATAGGGTGGGGGAATAGAGGCTGAGGAAAAATTGGGACCTGGCTTGGCCTGGCAAGGAGCAGCCTTGGGAGAAGGGGAGAGGTCAGATGAGTCTGTAGAAAAGAAGCATTCAAAGGACTCAGAACTTGGGGTGGAGACTGAAAGAACAGACAGGAGAGAAAGAAGAGAGATTTGGGACGAGTTGCATTGGGAGCAGAGACTAGGGAGTGACCGATGTGTAAAAGAATGCCCAGATGTCAGGCCCCTCAGACCATTTGCCCATGTTTCGAGAAAAATTATCTAGATCTAGTAGGATGGAGAAATCAAAAGTGCCATTTTCTGGCCATTTAGAACCATTGTCGAGTTTGTACTGGGGCCAAGTGATGTTGCAGAAGAAAATAAGATGCTTAGATTTTAGGTCAGGTGAGAGTTGAAGAGGTTTTAAGTTCTTGAGAACACAGGCTAAGGGAGAAGAAGGAGGAATGGAGGGTGGAAGTTTGCCCATAGTGAAGGAGGCAAGTTTAAAGAGAAGGGTAGAGACATGGAGAAGGGGGTTGGGGAGCAGCCCTGGGCTGCAATGTGGGTGAGCAGCCAAAGCAGGCATCCCGGCAATTGACTTGCCACCAAGGGAATGTGGGTGAATGATGAAGGCAGGCATCCCCACGGAGATCAGACACCAATGGAACATGGGTGAATAATCAGAGAGGCATCCCTGCAATGATTAAACACCAAGGGAAGGCTGCCTTCCCAAGTCTGTGACCACCGCCGGAGTTTTGGGTCCACAGATAAAATGTGTCTCCTTTGTCTCTACCAGAAAATGAAAGGAATTGAAATTAAGAGTAGGGAGAGATTGAAGTGTGGCGCCAAGATTGAAAGGAGAAAGAGGTTGAGAGATAGTGAGAGAGGTTGGATAAGAGAGTAAAAAGAGGCTGCTTATCCGATTTAAAATCGGTGAGATGTTCCTTGGGCTGGTTGGTCTGAGGACCCGGGGTCGTAGGTGGATCTCTTCATGGAGTGAGGGTGAGGACAGGGGACTGGTCTCCCGAAGAAGCCCCGCTGACCTGGGTCTTCAGCACCAAATGTCTCACATGTTCATGTGAAGAGACCACCAAACAGGCTTTGTGTGAGCAACAAGGCTATTTATTTCACCTGGGTGCAGGCGGGCTGAGTCTGAAAAAGGAGTCAGCAAAGGGTGGTGGATTATCATTAGTTCTTACAGGTTTTGGGATAGGCGGTGGAGTTAGGAGCAATGTTTTGCGGGCAGGGGTGGATCTCACAAAGTACATTCTCAAGGGTGGGTAGAATTACAAAGAACTTTCTCAAGGGTGGGGGAGATTACAAAGTACATTGATCAGTTAGGGTGGGGCAGAAACAAGTCACAATGGTGGAATGTCATCTGTTAAGGCTATTTTCACTTCTTTTGTGGATCTTCAGTTGCTTCAGGCCATCTGGATGTATACATGCAGGTCACTGGGGATATGATGGCTTAGCTTGGGCTCACAGGCCTGACATTTATCAGACCCAAAAAGGTGTCAGACTCAGTTAATTCCTTCCTGGATCAGGAAAGAATCAAGGATTCTCTATAGAATATACATTTTCCCAATGAGAGAAAGCTTTGCAGGACCATTTCAAAATATATCAAAGAAGGCTGGGCATGGTAGCTCTTGTCTGTAATCCCAGCATTTTGGGAGGCCAAGGTGGGTGGATCACTTGAGGCCAGGAGTTCAAGACCAGCCTCGCAAACAGGGCAAAACCTCATCTCTACTAAAAATACAAAAATTAGTTGGGCATGGTGATACACGCCTGTAATCCCAGCTACTTGGGAAACTAAAGTACTAGAATTGCTTGAACTCAGGAGGCAGAGGTGGCAATGAGCCAAGATCACATCACTGCACTCCAGCCTGGGTAACAGACTCTGTATCAAAAAATATACACACACACACACACACACACACACACACATTATATAATATATATATATATATATATATATATATATATATATATATCTCTGAAAGAAATATATTTTGGGGCTGGGCACGGTGGCTTATGCCTGTAATCCCAGTACTTTGGGAGGCCAAAGTGGGCAGATCATGAGGTCAGGAGATCAAGGCCATCCTGGCCAACATGGTGAAACCCCATCTCTACTAAAAATACAAAAATTAGCTGGGCGTGGTGGTGTGTGCTTGTAATCCCAGCTACTTGGTCGGCTGAGGCAGGAAAATAGCTTGAACCATGGAGTCAGAGGTTGCAGTGAGCTGAGATCGCACCACTGCACTCCGAACTGGCAACAGAGTGAGACTTCATCTCAAAAAAATAACAAAATATATATAATAATAATATATATGTAAGAAATCAAAGTGTTTTACATATATGTATATATATATATATTCGATTTATTTTAGTCAGGCTGGAATTTGGTGTCTTATTGCTACAGGAAGTCTGTTTTATTCTTAAGATCTCTATTTTAATGTTAATGCTGGTCACCCATGCCTGCATTCCAAAGACAGGAGAGTGTAAATAAGTCATGCCCCATCTCCTGCATCTCATCATGGTCTGAACTAGTTTTTCAGGTTAATTTTGGAATGCCCTTGGCTGAGAGGATAGGTCTATTCAGTTGATTGGGAAGCCTAGAATATTATTTTTGGTTTACAAAATCCCACACCAGGCACACTGCCTAAGAATTTTTCATCAGCTTCATAGAGATAAAGAATTGAAAATTAGTATCAAAACTTTCTCTGTATATCGTTGAGGGTTAGGTGTATGTGATTGTGTTTAATTTAATTATAGTATTAAATTATTACTCCATAGGTTTGAGTCCTAAGTTTAATAACTCTTTCTGATATGGTTAATTTATGTTAAAATATTAGACCAAGACTGTATCTGCCCCAAGCACAGACCCTCACGCTCGACACTCCTCCACCAGTCCAAACTTGGTGCCAGCTCCCCATGAATGATGATATCTTCACACTTGCAGTGACAATGCCCCCCAGGGTATCTTGCCTTCCATCACGGGGTGCCCACGGAACCAGTACATGACAGCAGGCATGGCTCAGAAGGACTCTTATGTGGGTGACAAGGCCCAGAGCAAGAAAGGCATCCTGATCCTGAAATACCACATCCAGCACAGCATCATCACCAACTAGGACGACATGGAGATCTGGAACCACACCTTCTACAACAAGCTGCACATGGCTCCTGAGGAACATCCCATGCTGCTGACTGAGGCTCTTCTGAACCCCAAGGCCAACTGCGAGAAGATGACCCAGATCATGTTTGAGACCTTCAACACCCCTGCCATATATGTGCCATCCATGCTGTGCTGTTGCTGTATGCCTCTGGTTGTACCACTGGCATTGCGATGGACTCCAGTGATGGGGTCACCCACACTACCAAACTACAAGGGGTACACCCTCCCCAGTGCCATCCTATGTCTGGACCTGGCTGGCTGGGACCTGACTGACTACTTCACGAAGATCCTCACCGAGCGTGGCTACAGCTTCACCACCACGGCCCAGCAGGAAATCATGCGTGACATCAAGAAGAAGCTGCGCTACATTGCCCTGGACTTCAAGTAGGAGATGGCCACCATGTCCTCCAGCTTCTCCCTGGAGAAGAGCTACAAGCTGCTCCAGAGCCAGGTCATCGCCATCTGCAACAAGTAGTTCCACTGCCCTGGCCTCTCCTCCAGCCTTCCTTCCTGGGCATGGAACCCGTGACATCCATGAAACTACCTTCAACTCCATCATGAAGTGTGACGTGGACATCCATAAAGGCCTGTACGCCAATGCAGTGCTGTCCAGCGGCACCACCATGTACCCTGGCATCGCCCAACAGGATGCAAAAGGAGATCACTGCCCTGGCTCCCAGCATGATGAAGATCAAGATTATTGCTCCTGCTGAGTGCAAATACTCCATGTGTATCATTGGCTCCATCCTGGCCTCGCTGTCCACCTTCCAGCAGATGTGGATCAGCAGGCAGGAATACGAGTCCCACTTCTCTCGCCCCCATCTTCTACTGCAAATGCTTCTAAGCAGACTGTTACTTAGTTGTGTTATACCCTTTCTTAACAAAAACCTAACTTGCATAGAAAACAAGATGAGATTGGCATGGCTTTATTTGTTTTTTGGGGAGTGTTTGTTTGTTTGATTGGTTTCGGGTTCTGTTTTGGTTTGGGGTTTCTTTTTTTTTTGGTTTTTTTTTTTTTGGCTTGATGATTCAGGATTTACAAACTGGAACAGTGAAAGTGACAACAGTCTGTTGGAATGAGCATCCCCCAAAGTTCTACAATGTGGCCAAGAACTTGGATTGTACATAGTTATTTTTAATTTTTATTTTATTTATTTATTTTGAGACAGGGCCTCACTCTGAGGGTCTCACTCTGTCACCAAGGCTGTAGTGCAGTGGCCCAATCACAGCTCGCTGCAACCTCAACCTCCAGGGCTCAGGTGATCCTCCCACCTCAGCTTCCCAAATAACTGGGACTACAGTGCACACCACCGTGCCTTGCTAATTTTTCTATCTTTTGTAGAAAAGGGGTCTCACTATGTTGCCCAGGCTGGTCTGAAACTCCTGGGCTCAGGTGATGTGTCTGCCTCAGCCTTACAAAATGCTAGGATTACAGGCATGAGCCACGACGCCAGGCCTGTTCTTTTTTTTTTAATAGTCATTGCAAATATCATGAAATGTATTGTTACAGGAAGTTCCTTTGCCCTCCCAAAAGCCACTCCACTTCTATCTAAGGAAAATGGCCCAGTCCTCTCCTAAGTCCACACAGGGGAGGTGATAGCATTGCTTTCATGCAAATTACGTAATGCAAAATGTTTTAAATCTTAGCCTTAATAACTTTGTATTTTGTTTTTGTTTTGTTTTTACTCTTTTTTGAGACAGGGTCTCACTCTGTCACCCAGGCTGGAATGCAGTGAGGCGATCTCAGCTCACTGCAACCTCCAGCTCCCCAGCTCAAGTAATCCTCCCACCTTAGCCTCCCGAGTAGCTGAGACCACAGAAGTGCACCACCCTGCTTGGCTAGTTTTTTGTATTTTTGGTAAAGATGGGTTTTCACCATATTGCCTATGCTGGTCTCAAATTCCTGAGCTCAAGTGATCAGCCTGCCTTGGCCTCCCAAAGTGCTGGGATTACAGGCATGAGCCACTGCGTCTGGCCTATTTTGTTTTATTTTGAATGAGCCATTGTGGCCACACTTTTTGTCCCTAAACTTGAGGTGTATGAAGGCTTTTGGTCTCCCTGGGATTGGATGGAGGTGTGAAAGTAGCAAGGGGTTACCTGTACACTGACTTGAGACCAGTTCAATAAAAGTGCACATTAAAAAAAATACAATATTAAAGTCATAAAAGTAAAATTATGTGTAACTATGCATGTATGAATTGCCTTAATTGAAAAAAAATGAAATTATAAAATTATTGGAACTATCTTGGAAAACACAAGATGTACAGAAACCTGCCCTCCTTTAAATAAGAGATAAAAGAAAGCTATGGAATCGTCTCTAAGAACCTTTAAGAAATTGTCTTAATCTTCTCAGGCTGCTGTAATAAGATGCCATCAACTGGGTGGCTTAAACAACAGAAATTTATTTATCACAGTTCTAGGGGCTGGGAAGTCCAAGATCAAGATGCCTGCAGATTCGTTGTCTGGTGAGAGCCAACTTTCTGATATGTAGACAGCTGTCTTCTCACTGTGTGCTCACATGTCGTTTCCTCCATATGTACTCATGGAAAGAAAGATCTCTTTCTTTCTTTCTTTCTCTCTCTCTCTCTCTCTCTCTCTCCCTCCCTCCCTCTCTCCCTCTCTCCCTCTCCCTCTCTCTCTTCTTTTAAGGGCACTAATCCCATCATAAGGGTCCTACCCTCATGATCTAATCTAGACCCAATTATCTCCCAAAGACTCCACCTTCAAATAGCCATCACATTGGGGTCTAGGGCTTCAACATATGAACTGGGGGAAGAGAGACACAAACATTCAGTTCATAACAGAAATAAATCTTGTCCTAGTGTGGTGGCTCACACCTGTAATCCTAGCACTTTGGGAGGCTGAGGCAGAAGGACTGCTTGAGACCAGGAGTTCCAGACCAGTCTGGTCAACATAGTGAGACCCTATCTCTATTAAAAAGAAATGAAAATAAGATTAATAAAATTAAAAATTTAAAAAGGACGGGCCACCAGTAGTGGCTCACACCTGTAATCCCAGCACTTTGGGAGGCTGAGGCAGAATGATTGCTTGAGCCCAGGAGTTTAAGACGAACAAAGCAAGACCCTGCCTCTATTTAAAAGAAGAAGGAGGAGGAGAAGGAGGTGGGGGGAGGAGAAGGAGATGGGAGGGGGAGGAGAGGGGGAGAAGGAGAAGGAAGAGGAGATGGGGGAAGAGGAGTAGGAGAGGTAGGAAGTGGGGGAAGAGAAGGAGGAGGAAGGGAAGGGGAGAAGAGGAAGAGGAGGAGGGGAGGAGGGGAGGAGAGGGAGGATGAGGAGGAGGAAGAGGAGGAGGGGAGGAGAGGGAGGATGAGGAGGAGAAGAGGAGGAAAAGGAGGAGGAGAGAAAGGAGAGAGGGGATGGAGAGGAGGAGGAGGAGAAGAAGAAAAGACGGAAGAAGGAAGAAGAGGAGGGAGGGGGAGGGGGAGGAGGAGAAGGGAAGTGAGGAAGGAGAGGAGGGGAGGAGAGGGAGGATGAGGAGAAGAGGAGGAAAAGGAGGAGGGGGAAAGGAGGAGGGAGGGGATGAAGAGGAGGAGGAGAAGAAAGAAGGAAGAAGGAAGAAGAGGGAGGGGAAGGGGAGGAGGAGAAGGGAAAGGAGGAGGAAGAAGGGGAGGAGGAGGTGAAGGAGGAAGAGAAGAAGAAAAAGAAGAAAAGAATGCTGAGAATGCTGACTGCCTTCTTTGAGGCTATAAAACATGGGAGGTTGGGAGGGAGTCTAGACAGAAGTAACTTCTGGCTTCTGTCTGGTTCCCCCTTCCAACAGAAGATTAATGGTATCCAATAATCCAGAATTCCATTGATATGTCATTGTCTCCAGTACTCCCAGGTAATGGTGACTGATACAGATACAGGGGTCAGGTGGAGGAGAAACCTGTCTAGCCTGGTGGATATTTTCAAGGGAGTGACAGATGCTACCAGAGATGATCAATTTCTCAACGTTATTCTTTACAACTGGGTTGCCCCTTCTCAGACTGCCTGCAGAAAGGCCATCATAATAGTTTGGTGAGGGGCTAGAAAAAGGGGAAATGTGGATGCTTTCATGACTCATTCATAGAAATGAACTTCTTAGTTCATCCTGGATGACTGACACCGGCAAATATTTGATTATCAAAACTCTACCCCTGTAGTTGGGTTTTCATAGTATTTATTGCTCTTGAAGAGCACCAAAAATTTTCATTCTGAATTTGATGTATTTTGAGATGACTGTTCAGAAAGCCTGCAAAGCTGTCTTTTGTGGGGGAGATCTGCATCTGCAGAGAATCTGCATCGATGCAGAAAGGCTTTCTCTGGTGCTCTCCCTTGTCCAGATTTAGGAAAGATTAACTGAGAGTCTGACATCTTAAAAGGTCTAACAGAAACCTTTACCACCTATTCCTTCTAAAGGCTACTGTCTGTGAGATTTCATTTGTTCACCAAGACCGTCTTTGCTGGCCAGGCCTCTTCTTCTCCCCCTCCCATAACCTGTCTTGCCACCATAACCTGTTTTGCCCAGATGCAAGCTCTCATTCTTTCTGTAACCTCAAGGTGGTATAAAAGCAACCATTGGGCATTTCTTTGAGTTTTTATATTTTGTATGACTCCCACACACATGCGTGCATCAAATAAAATTTGTAGGAGACCGGACCCAGTGGCTCACACCTGTAATCCCAGCACTTTGGGAGGCCGAGGCGGGCGGATCACCTGAGGTCAGGAGTTCAAGACCAGCCTGCCTAACATGGCGAAACTCTGTCTCTACTAGAAATACCAAAAAAAAAAAAAAAAAAAAATTAGCCAGGCATGGCGACGTGCACCTGCAGTCCCAGCTACTCAGGAGGCTGAGGCAGGAGAATCGCGTGACCCGGGAAGTGGAGGTTGCAGTGAGCTGAGATCGTGCCACTGCACTCCAGCCTGAGCGACAGAGCGAGACTCCGTCTCAAAAAAAAAAAAAAAAAAAAAATGCGTAGGCCTCTTTTCCCTTTAATCTATGTAATCAGTTTGTTTTATAGACTCAAATTATCAAACATTCAAGGGAAAAATTTAAACTTCCCTACACTCTCATCTTTCCCTGTCTCCCACCTTATGAACATTATCTTAGTCCTTAAACCTCCTTCTAGGCTGGGCGTGGTGGCTCACGCCTGTAATCCCAGCACTTTGGCAGAGGCAAGTGGATCACCTGAGGTCATGAGTTCGAAACCAGCCTGGCCAACATGGTGAAACCCCATCTCTACTAAAAATACAAAAAAAAAAAAAAAAATTAGCCAGGCATGGTGGCAGGCACCTGTAATCCCAGCTGCTCAGGTGGCTGAGGCAGGAGAATCGCTTGACCCGGGAGGCGGAGGATACAGTGAACCGAGATTGTGCCATTGCACTCCAGCCTGTGCAACAAAAGTGAAACTCCATCTCAAAAAGAAAAAAAAAAAAACCGCCAGGTGCGGTGGCTCACGCCTGTAATCCCAGCACTTTGGGAGGCTGAGGCGAGTGGATCATGAGGTGAGGAGTTCGAGACCAGCCTAACCAATATGATGAAACCCCGTCTCTACTAAAAATACAAAAATTAGCCGGGTGTGGTGGTGCCCGCCTATAATCCTAGCTACTCAGGAGGCTGAGGCAGGAGAATTGCTTGGAGCCGGGAGACGGAGGTTGCAGCGAGCTGAGATCACGCCATTGCACTCCAGCCTGGGCAACAGAGCAAGAGCGCGACTCCGTCCCAAAACAACAACAACAAAAGACAAACACACACACACACACACACACACACACACACACACACACACACACACAAACTTCTCCCCAAAGGCAAGGCAAGGGAGACTAATACATGCAGTTGTACTTTCTCGGTTCTGGTGAGAAAGCTGAAATCATCTGCTTAAAAAAAAAAGGTTTGGGTTGTACATGGCGGCTCACTACCTGTAGTCCCAACAGTTTGGAAGGCCGAGGTGGGAGGCTCACTTGAGGCTAGGAGTTCGAGACCAGCCTGGGCAATATAGCGAGACCCTATCTATACAAAAATAAAATGTGGAAATGATGTATTTGTGTTGGGACCTCTGTGTTATATACAAAAACATCCCAGTGCAGCTCCTTGGTCTCAGTAGGATGCATGAGCCTTCAACCCTCTCAGCCTGGGCTCAGAAAATTTCCTGGAGCAGATTAATTTGGAGTTTGGTTTAAAGGAGAAGCCAATGGCGGCAAACACTCTTGGTTATGAGAGGTCTCTTTTTCTTTCACTTTCTTCCTTCAGCTCCCCTAACTGCCATGCAATGGGCAGAAGACATAAAGTGAACTTAAGGCGTATTCTTTCCTCAAGCAATGAGACTCTTACCCCTTTTGTCATGGCAATGGATCTCAGAGTCCACTTAATTCCCTGGTCCCTGATCTCAAACGATGGCCTGAGGCTAAACAATTTGTTTTCTAGGGTAGCTTGGAGCTTGTGGGTGAGGGGAATTACTACTGTGTCCTCTGCGTTCACCCAGAGAGTGACAGAGATCAGGAACCACTGCCTCTCCCCTGCCAGACCTTGTCGGGCTCATGGGAAGCACATGCGTCAGTGTACTAGGGATTCCTGGCGCCTCAAGGGTTCAAGCAACCCTCACACCAGTAAAGGCGGCCCTGCCTAGCACAGGCAGGACGCGGAGGTGGAGAGTTGCGGGGCGCCATGCAGCCGCCAGAGGACGCAAGTGCCTCAAGTCCCCGCGCGATGGCGCCCCACGGACCGGGAAGGAAAGGTGGTCCGCCTGCGAGGAGGCGCGGACCGGGCCAAGGAGCCCATAGGAAGAGCGGGGCGCCGCCTCACCCGCGAGCTGCCGGCCTCTGCATCCGGCCCACCTGTCCCTCCCTGCCTACCAACCCAAGAGCCTCACCCCGATCTGCGCTTGCTGGGTGACCTCGACGCCCGGGCGGGGACAGAGGGCGCTCTGAGCTCTGCGCTCAGCTCCCAGACCCACTCCCACTCCGAGGCGGAGGCCAGGTCTTCAGAGAGGAACGACGGAGGCGCAGAAGCCCAGGCGCAGCCCGCTCCAGCCCTGGCAGCCGCGGAACAATGGCCCGAGCGGCTGCGGGCGCCGCGGCGGGCGCGGAGGAGGAGGGGCGCCAGGGCGCTGGAAGCCCCGCCCCTCGGCCGGCGCCCTGACAACGCGGGCGGGCTGGGCTGCGCCGCCTGCTCCCCGCCCCTCGGCCGCCTGCACCGGGCGGGGCCCGGGCCAGAGCGCCGCCGCCGCCGCTGCTGCAGCAGCAGCTGCTCTGCAGAGTGGTGGCCGGGGCCAGGGCCGGGGTGCCCTCCCTCCCACCTTCTCCCGCCATGAGCCAGGGAAGTCCGGGGGACTGGGCCCCCCTAGATCCCACCCCCGGACCCCCAGCATCCCCCAACCCCTTCGTGCATGAGTTACATCTCTCTCGCCTCCAGAGGGTTAAGGTAATGTGTGGGGAGCGGGCGTCGGAAGGACCCGTGAGGATAGGAAAATGGGGCCATTTGAGCCCTGGCAAAGGTGGGCTTGGGGATCCACGAGAAGGAGATGGCTGAGAGGCTTGCGGAGCGGGAGTCCGGGGGTGCGCACGTGGGGGCGGCCGCGGTTGGGCAAGGAGTCCTGGAGAGGACGCTGCGGGCTTGGGCGATAGACAAGCTCGAAGATGTGGAAAAACTGAGTAGGTGGGGATGGAGGGCTGCAGGGGACCCTGGGGTTGGAGAGATGAAGGACGCTGGGGAATGCGGATTACATTCTGCAGAGCCTGATGGCTAGGATGGAGTTAGAGTCTACGGGAAGCCGGGGGTGGGGGCGGGGGCGGGGGCGTGCCGAGTATTCCTCCGAGGCATGACTTAGAGGGAAGACGTTTCTGGGCCGGGAGCCTGCGACCCTGTGCCCTTCCTACACTCCCTCTTCCCACTCCCTCCAACCCCCCTCCACCCCGCACTGCAGCACCTCCCGGTGGGGGCAGGGAGGCTGAGAGGGAGGTTGGCTACAGGAAGTGGAGGGCCGCGCCAGCCTAGGGGAGCTGGGAGGTGGTGTGGGGAGGGAGTGTCCAAGGTTTCTGCTGTCATCACCTCCCCGGAGGCAGGCTCCAGGGGCTAGGTTTGCTTACCTGCTTCTTCCCCAAGGCAGCCTATGGAGTCATCCTGGCTCCTGGCAGCCTCTCTCCCTTGCAGAGTGGGGCCGAGCTCTTGTCTCCCATATCCCCCGGTACTATAAGATTGCTGTTGAGCAGTGTCAGAAAATGACCTCGGGTCTGAAAACTGGACCTCTGGCTGTTTACAGCCCTCTGCCTCCTAGGCCCAAAGTGGAAAGATCTGTGCACCTGGTTTCTGTTGGGCATAGGAGCTATTTATGGAATAAGATGTGGGGGAGGAGGACCTGTCTCTAACCTACTGTACATCAAGCACAGCGCCCTGCACTTTCGCATGCATTCTTATTAAATCCTCTAAGTGCTAGATGCTTTTTATGGCTTTCGGTTTTATAAATGGGGTAGGGACCAACTGAAAGACAGGAAAATAAGGCCCTTGATGCCATTAATCTTTTATCCTCTTGCCCTCATTGGTATCTTCATCCCACCTTGGGTCCCAGTCCCCTCTCCTGTTCCCACACCACCTGTCACATGCAAGGGATGATGGCTGTCTGCTCCTGGGTCTATGCTTTGTGGAAGAAGGATGCTGTGGAGGGAGCATATCCAAGCTCTAAAGTGGCATTCTCTCCCACCCTTTGCAGTTCTGCCTCCTGGGGGCATTGCTGGCCCCCATCCGAGTGCTTCTGGCCTTTATCGTCCTCTTTCTCCTCTGGCCCTTTGCCTGGCTTCAAGTGGCCGGTCTTAGTGAGGAGCAGCTTCAGGAGCCAATTACAGGATGGAGGAAGTAAGTGAGGGATCAGCCCCCAGAGACCCTACTTCTCTTCCCTGCTGTCTATTCGGCTCCCTCTTTGAGAAGAAGAAAAGAGAGCATTCTGAAACTATTCTGTCTAGCTTGGGTAGATGAGATGAGTCAGCCAAGCTCAGACGTGGTTCCCAGACCTCACCTCTAAGTAACGTGCCCTGATAGGTCCCAAAGTGGCCAGAGACCTTGGCCCCTTGGTCACATCCTATTTAAGGGTAAAAGAGGGGTGCCCTACTTTCCCGGTGTCTGAACCTGGGGGCGGGTGAGGGTTAGAACCACTGCTTCCGCTGATACCCAGCCTTGCCCTGGCAGGACTGTGTGCCACAACGGGGTGCTAGGCCTGAGCCGCCTGCTGTTTTTCCTGCTGGGCTTCCTCCGGATTCGCGTTCGTGGCCAGCGAGCCTCTCGCCTTCAAGCCCCTGTCCTTGTTGCTGCCCCACACTCCACTTTCTTTGACCCCATTGTTCTGCTGCCCTGTGACCTGCCCAAAGTTGTGTCCCGAGCTGAGAACCTTTCCGTTCCTGTCATTGGAGGTGAGAGAGTTCAAAGGGGGTGAAGGGCAGGGTGACAACTCTGGGCAAAAAAAGTCAGGAATGGAGACACTGGAGTGAAGAACTGGCCTCAAAGTGGGGAGGGACTGTTGGCAAGTGAAATATAAATTAACACCATTAGTCAACCAGTCTTAGATTCTGAGGGCTGGGACAGAGAGAAGGTGTTGGAGGGAGTTCTGGTCAGTTCTCTAAAAGGACAACTACTATAAAGGGATTGTCCCAGGGCAAAGATAACAGGCCAGGCACGGTGGCTCGCGCCTATAATCCCAGCACGTTGGGAGGCCAAGGCGGGCGGATCACCTGAGGTCGGGAGTTCGAGACCAGCCTGACCAACATGGAGAAACCCTGTCTCTACTAAAAATACAAAAAAAGTAGCCGGGCGTAAAAAAAAAAAAAAAAAAAAAAAAAATTAGCCGGGCGTGGTGGCCCATGCTTGTAATCCCAGCTACTCGGGAGGCTGAGGCAGGAGAATCACTTGAACCCAGGAGGTGGAGTTTGCGGTGAGCTGAGATCGAGCCATTGCACTCCAGCCTGGGCAACAAAAGCGAAACTCTGTCTCAAACAACAACAACGAAAAAAAAAAAAAGAGATAACAGAAACTTCTCATGCTGTTGAGGAAGTGGAGGCTGCAGATGTTACTGCCCCTGGGTAGGAAAGAAGTGATTCCTCTTTGTATCCTTCCCAACCCCAGCCCTTCTTCGATTCAACCAAGCCATCCTGGTATCCCGGCATGACCCGGCTTCTCGACGCAGAGTGGTGGAGGAGGTCCGAAGGCGGGCCACCTCAGGAGGCAAGTGGCCGCAGGTGGGTAAGGGTCTCAAGACCATCTTCTCACTTTCCATGTGCTCCTGAAGAGGCTTCCCTTTCCTCTCTCCACAGCCTTCTTCAGTCTTCTTCACCTCATTCTGCTCTTTTTTACCCCAGGTGCTATTCTTTCCTGAGGGCACCTGTTCCAACAAGAAGGCTTTGCTTAAGTTCAAACCAGGTGAATAAAATGATAGTGGGTGGTGGGCTGTAGGAAAAAGAAGTTCCAGATTTGGGGAGGGACTCTGAAATAACCCAAGAAGTAGAAGAGGGGGAGGGATGGGAGAGGAAGGGAGACCAGGAACCTCCTAGCTAATGCTGTCAAGTCGAGGAGTCAGAGAGAAAATTATCAATGAGTGGAACAAAACCATATCTCATTTGAGAACTGTCCCAGACTGCCATACCTCATGCCCTCTAGCTACTTCTGTGTACTAACCTCTGCCTTGTGGGGGTGGGGGTGGAAATGGGATTTAGGAGCCTTCATCGCAGGGGTGCCTGTGCAGCCTGTCCTCATCCGCTACCCCAACAGTCTGGTGAGTCTTAGTCCAAGAAAGAGTGGAAAGGGGGAGCACAAATCCACCCCAAATGGAAATAAGTGAAAACTGTTGGTGCTTTAATGGGATGTGCATTGGGGGCTGTGACCAGAGGTGGGATCAGGCCCTCTGTTCAAAGGTGATTGGCCAGTTCCAGGGGGAAAAAGTAATGCTCTTATGCCCTCACCTGTGTTTCTCCCATAGGACACCACCAGCTGGGCATGGAGGGGTCCTGGAGTGTGAGTTCTGGTATTCCTGGGGGTGAGGGTGGGGAGCAGGGTCCATCAGAGAATTCCTGGCCCATCTTCCAATCTCCCGACAAGGTGAATGGCCCTTCTTCATCTGAGGACTGAGAGAACTCTAGAGGAGACACCACTTTCCCCCTGATGTCCCCATATAATCTGGCTGTGCTTAGATTAGCTATCCCACCTAAACTGTTCCTGCTGTGATTATGGCTGCTATGCATTTATCTTCCCATGTTTCTGTGATTTTCTCCCTCAATTATCCCTTCCTGAGAACCATCACCATCAGGCATGCCTCTCGCCTTTTTCTTCCATTACTCAAACCTCCTCTTGCCTACAGTTCTTCCTCTGGCATATCCATGCAGCTCTGCTCTCTTTCCCTACCGCGTTTCTGGCCGTTCCTTGTGTCTCCCAACTGCATATTCACCCACCTGACTGTATGGCTAGGAGTCTGTCCCTATTATCAATGGGCAGAACTTTTCCCACTCCCCACCTGGGTTGGGGAAGGGGAGTGGGGTGTGGGAGCCGGGGAAGGAGCCCATAGTTAGAGATTGGTGAGTATCGAAATCTCTCTTCTCTTAGACTCAAAGTCCTCTGGCTCACAGCCTCTCAGCCCTGCAGCATTGTGGATGTGGAGGTATGGCTCCCGTGGGGGCGGTGGGAGAAGTACATCTCAGACTCCTGAAACCTTGGGAAAAGAGGGTGGGAGTGGTCATACCTCACTTTGAGGTTCTGATAAGAATTGTGTGTGTCTGTGTTTCAGTTCCTTCCTGTGTATCACCCCAGCCCTGAGGAGAGCAGGGACCCCACCCTCTATGCCAACAATGTTCAGAGGGTCATGGCACAGTGAGTGCCCCACAAACTATTTCCTGGAGCAGTTGCACAGGGCAAAGGAACCACAAGGGCGTGGAGGGGGCGAGGTTTTCAGGCAAAGATCGAGGAGCAGGCAGTGGGAAGGGCTCTTGAACAGCTGAGACAGAGGCAGGGAGATTTAAAGGGGCCTGATCTACTCCAGTCAGCGGGCCAGGGTCAGGAACCAACCCTCAGAAGTTTCTTCTGCTTCCTTACCCTCCATCCCATCCCTCTTCATCCTGTAGGGCTCTGGGCATTCCAGCCACCGAATGTGAGTTTGTAGGGAGCTTACCTGTGATTGTGGTGGGCCGGCTGAAGGTGGCGTTGGAACCACAGCTCTGGGAACTGGGAAAAGTGCTTCGGAAGGCTGGGTAAGTGGTCTTGGAAATGAGGGTATGAGCAGTGTCACAGAGAGAGAGAGAGAGAGAGAGAATAAGAAGGGGAGAAATGAGAAGGAAGAAGGAAAATCTTAAAAATGAAAAAAACTGGGAAGAAAGATAATAGAATAAATAAAAGGAAGTGGGGAATAAATGGAAGGATATGTAATAATGCAGGTGAAAAAAGTAAGAAGGGGCCGGGCACGGTGGCTCACACCTGTAATCCCAGTACTTTGGGAGGCCAAGGCGGGTGGATCACCTGAGGTCAGGAGTTCAAGACCAGCCTGACCAACATGGCAAAACCCCATCTCTGCTAAAAATACAAAATTTGCCGGGTTTGGTGGCACATGCCTGTAATCCCAGCTACTTGGGAGGCTGAGGCAGGAGAATTGCTTGAACCTGGGAGGTGGAGGTTGCAGTGAGCCAAGGTCGTGCCACTGCACTCCAGCCTGGGTGACAGAGCAAGACTCCGTCAAAAAAGAAAAGAAAAGAAAAGAAAAAAGTAAGAAGTGCTCTCAAGGGACTGTGAGTCAGTACATCTTAGAAAAACAGCAGCTAAACCTGTACTGATAGAACTCTTGGTACTGGGGCTGAAGTCCTGCTGATGGTGTGTCCAGAAGGAAACTGAGACAGCTCTCTGCCTTCAACAATTCCATCGTAGGCTGTCCGCTGGCTATGTGGACGCTGGGGCAGAGCCAGGCCGGAGTCGAATGATCAGCCAGGAAGAGTTTGCCAGGCAGCTACAGCTCTCTGATCCTCAGACGGTGGCTGGTGCCTTTGGCTACTTCCAGCAGGTAAAGGAGCTGGAACAAAGAGCAGAGCAGAACCCAGGCTTCCCTCCAGGCTGACATGTTCCTAGTGGCCGTATCAGTCACTCACAGTTTGGAGTCCTCAGTGGATGTTCTCACAGCTGTTGTTAGATGGCCATCCCCTGAGATCCACTGAAGATTCATTTTTTAATCAGGCATCCAGTGCATTGAAGAGCAATGTTATCATCATGAGGAGGAACAAGGGAGAAATAATCAGTAAGGACTATAAATTTCTGAAACCACTTTAGAGAGTGGCGAAGGTGGGGAATCATAAGACCTTTTGGGGTGCTGGGTGAGGGTCTTTGAAGGAGAGTCATGAAGGTTACGTGGGAAGATGACATGTAGAAGAAACAACACCGGACAGTTAGATGGTTGAGAGCTTGAGACCCAGCTATATCTGTAGGACTTGGGCAGATTATTTTAAATATCCTATAGCTTCTCTAGAGGAATTTTCTCAAGATTCTTAGCAAGCCATGTATTTCTCAAGATTTAACCAAGTTCCCTGGTCAACTTCCAAAAATCCTAAAAGATTCTTAATGCTTATGAACAACCAACAGTGGTCCCAAGGAGCTTTTTGATCTGAGATGCAGAATGTGACCCTCAACATCCTCTGAAGGGACAGAGTGACCAGGTATCTAGATTCCTTAGATTGAGGCGGACTGTCCCCGAAAAGAGCTTCCCCCACTTGGCCTGTAGCAGAGCAGAAACAAAAATTCAAATGCCATGGTCTCCCATGGAGCTGGTACAGCAGGCATCCTCCTTGTGTTTTTCATAAGAAATTATGCCTGTGTCCCCCTTTCAATCTGTTGGACCAGTTCTTCTACATAGGCTGAGTCAGAGAGAACCAGTTTGTCTAGCCTGGGGACCAGGACTGCCCTCCGCTGGCATGTCAGAGACTTCATAGTAGCTTCAGCATTCCTGAGGGATTCCCTTACATTCCTAGGAGATCCCTTTATGGGAGGGCTTTGTCACCAGGTGACCTGATATAGCTTGAGAAAGCCTATGACCTGAGAGAAATTCCAGGGATCCTAAAGAGTTTGGAGCTCACAGTTCTGAGGGGAGCAGTCACAGGGATCACCCCCATTATTTGCTGAGAAGAGGGAGGAGTCAAAATCCAAAGAGCAGGAAGGGAGGCGCAGGGTCCCCGCATTGCCCTGGTTTCTTTTTCACACCAGGATACCAAGGGTTTGGTGGACTTCCGAGATGTGGCCCTTGCACTAGCAGCTCTGGATGGGGGCAGGAGCCTGGAAGAGCTAACTCGTCTGGCCTTTGAGGTAATGGGGGGTGGCGGTGGTGGGGGGTGCTTAGTGGCTATGCTCACCCCGCTCCAGGAGGCCTATTTTGGTATGCTGTTTCCAGTAGCTTCTAGATACTAGGCATTTGGTATCCAACCTAGTGCCACAGTGCCTAAAACTGCAGACCCCCGGCCTCTATGTTGAGACCTAGCTGGGCACAAGAAGAAGGAAGAAGAAGGAAAAAGCTATAAAGTCTACAGTTCTGCAGAAAGGGCACTGGAGGGTCAGGGAAGGCTTGTGCACCACCCTTTTGGAAGAGGAGGAGCCTGTCAGGCCAGTCTGTGGGGCAGGGTGAGGCCATGGCATGAGGAGAGAACTTGACTCTTATCCCTTTCTCTCCCAAGCTCTTTGCTGAAGAGCAAGCAGAGGGTCCCAACCGCCTGCTGTACAAAGACGGCTTCAGCACCATCCTGCACCTGCTGCTGGGTTCACCCCACCCTGCTGCCACAGCTTTGCATGCTGAGCTGTGCCAGGCAGGATCCAGCCAAGGCCTCTCCCTCTGTGAGTCACTGCCTTCTCAGCCCCACACGGGCACTTGGGGCACCATCAGCATCCAGGAAAGCACTGGGCTGGGAGGGAACAAGGGTTAGTGGCCAGTGCTGGAGATCAGAACCTATGAGAAGTAAGGCTGGGAGGAACAGGCTAGAAAGGAAGAGAGGACCTGAACCTGGATTTGAGAAGTTAAACAGAGTAGAGGCACAAGGTGTTTTAGTTCTGAGAAAAAAGCAGGGAGATTCTCTTCTCGTTCTTAGATCTTTTCACTTTTCCCCATCTCTTATTTGTCCAGGTCAGTTCCAGAACTTCTCCCTCCATGACCCACTCTATGGGAAACTCTTCAGCACCTACCTGCGCCCCCCACACACCTCTCGAGGCACCTCCCAGACACCAAATGCCTCATCCCCAGGCAACCCCACTGCTCTGGCCAATGGGACTGTGCAAGCACCCAAGCAGAAGGGAGACTGAGTGCCTCAGCCTCTCACCCCCTCCTCCTCAGGGCAGCGCTAGGGGCCTCCCCTATGCCTCAGCCCCATCTCTGCTCCTGTTTGAATTTTGTTATTGTTGTTTGGTTGTTGTTTTTTTAAGTTGATTTTAATTTTTTGTTTGGTTGATTTTTTTGTAAAAAACTATTTTATATATAAATATAAATCTATATCTATATCTATTAAAAAAAATGAAGTCCAGTCATATTGATGTTACCATTACTTGGGAAGGAAAGGGATGAATGGTTGTAGGACGCCCGTTGGAAAATCACAAATGTTTCCAAGGTTCGTCCTCTTGGCCATAGCTGGATGAATCTTCCTCTTTGGACAGGGCTCTTTCCTGCACAGAAATCATACTGAGGTTCCATATCCTCCCTCCTGCTGTCATCTCCTATATGTACATTTTAACAGACTTCCTCGTGAACCTCTTTTCAGCCCATTCCCTCTTGCTCTGTCCTCATTAAAGATTAAAAAATAGCTTGCTACCATTCCATATTTAATAATCCTACTGAGACTTGATTCCATCGCCCCTAGTGGAAGCAAGGAGCTGTGTCAGTAAGGAACCGGCCTCCTCCCTGCAGGTCAGACCAGCTACACAGGAGGGTTTCTCTGACACAAGATGAGTAAGGACACTGAAGTCCTTTCTGTTCAGCCTCTTTTCAAGGAAGAAAACAAGGCCCCCTAGAGACACAATTATGGACAATTAGAAAATTAGGCTGGGCATGGTAGCTCATGCCTGTAATCCCAGCACTTGGGGAGGTTGGGGCAGGCAGATGGCTTGAGGCCAGGAGTTCAAGACCAGCCTGGATGCTGTGGTGAAACCCCACCTCTACAAAAAAAAAAAAAAAATAGAAAAATTAGCTGGACATGCTGGTGCACACCTGTAGTCCCAGCTACTTGGGAGGCTAAGCTGGGAGGATTGTCTAAGCCCAGGAGGTTGAGGCTGCAATAAGCCATCGTTATGCCACTGCACTCTGTAGCTTAGGCTACAGAACGAGACCCTGTCTCAAAAAAAGAAGAAAGAAAATTAGATCTCTATCTCAGAGATCTAACAGGTAGAAAAGCATCTTTCTATCTATAGACTTCAAGGGAGGCAGATAATTATAAGATGCCCAGATAAGCCTTCCTGACACCAAGTCCAGGCTTGTGAAGAGGGGATGTATAATGTGATCATTGGAGATTCCTCAGTTTGGAGACTTATCACAGCCTGAGAGCCAGTCTGTTGCCAGGAGGAGGCTGCAGGGAGCCAAGATAAGGCTGGAGACAAGATTTATGGATTTGTAGAATCTAAGACTACCCCTACAGCCTTTCTTCATAGCATCTTAACCCTATCTAGCAGCAAAGACACGAGTACAGAAAAAGGGCACTCTGAGAGCATTTTCCAACAAAACACTTTATTCATTTTTTTTCTATATAGCTCCTTCCAAAGGTAATTCCCCCTGCAGCCTAGCCAGTCTGACCTCTCTCTCCATGCTTGCCACTTTTGCAGAACAACAAAACAACATTGGGATGAGATTCAACATTGGGATTCTCCATTGGTGGGCAGCAGGGGTGGAATCTACTCTGGGGCACCCACCTTTAGGGACTGGCAAGTGGGGTCAGATGGTCCCGCTGCTCCCTACTGGCTACGACGTCGTTTCTTCCTTCTGCCCGTGACAAAACTGTCACACCGCCTTTTACGAGGCTGTGAGGGTCGAACTACTCCCAGAGCTAGGGGTTTCTCCCTGGGGACCCCAAGTTGAGCTCCTGAGTGGGGTGTCTTTTCAGTAGGGGCTGGACCTCCAGCTAGAGCTCGCTTCCCAGACTTGGCAACAGGATATGGAAGTTTGCTGGGGCCTTTTGCTCCAGCAGGGAGCAGGTGGGATGCTCTCTGGCTGCCCTGACCTCCTGAGGCATGGTGAGGACTGAGGGGATGCTCCCTTGGTGAGAGGCTAAGTTTAGAGGCCAAGAGGTAAGCAAAGTTGGAGAGTTCCTCATCCTCTTCCTCTGCTTCCTTTTTCTTTTTCTCCTTTCCTTTGGCCCTGTCTGCTGACCTGTGTGTTTTACTAACAGAAGTTTCTCTCGGAACTATGGCATTCCTGGTTCCCCTTCTAGGCAAAGTGCTTCCAAGGCCCTGGTGAGAAGATGTTGCTTTGGGAGTCCCAGTTGTGTAAGACTCCTGACTCTCTTGTAAAGGAGCAAGGTTTTTAGGCTTGGACAGATCAGGATCCACCCTGCCTTCTCCTTGGGGGTCATAAGAATGAACATTCAGTGGGCAGGTGTCCTCGCTGACCCTTAGTTGGAGGCCACAGTCATCTTTAACATCTAGTATGTTGACAGGTTCTATGGTTTCCAACAGAGGAGAAAAGGAATTGCCTCTGCTCCCTGCCTCTTGACTGGCTTCAGGCAAGGAGGAGGCATCCTCAGTCCCCATGATAAGGAGATTGCCTTGGCATGTGGGTGGAAGGGTTTCTTTGGAAGACCCCAGTGTGGAATCACCACTTTCTAGCAATGGGAAGCAACCTTCTGCCCACAGATCACTGGGATGCCCTACGGTTTCACAGCTCTGTTCTTGATTTTCTTTGGACCTCAAGGGTGGGCTGTTGGCCCTCAAAGGTCCTGGCAAGCTGCAATAGTTTCTCTTTTCTAGGGCAGCTGCCGCAACTGTGCCTCCACAGGGAATCACACTGCTCTCCGTATCCCCAGGTACTAGGGTTTCTCCAGGACCCAGGGAAATGTTGCCCCTGGAGCCCAGTCCCTGGCAGCCTTCCTGATACTCAGTTACACACTTCTCAACTTGGAAGCTCTCTATGACCTCCTCTATTTGTACAGGCAGCTCCAAGCCTACAGCATCCATCTCACTGCTCAGCCAAACTCCTGGGCTGAGACAGACATCGTCCCTCTCCCCAGCTGCTCTAGGGGAAGGATTCTGATCATAACTCTGAGCCATGGGGGTACCTCTGTCATCTCCCCACATGGCTCCTGAAGAGCCTTCCCAGGGCACTGCTAAAGGCTCCTTCCCTTGAGGAAGCACTCCACGACCCCCTGTTTGTTGTCCTTTCTGCAATCCCAGGACTTGCTTTTCTAACCCTTGTCCTTGCAGAGGAGCCAGCTCTGCAAGTCCAGCATCCAAACTGGGAGTGCTCTCAGGCTGGAAGCCTCCCTGCCAACAAAGGGGCAGAGCCTCTGAAGTCCTATCAGCCACCAGGCAGTGCCCAGGAGGCCCAGCGCCTCCTAGATGGCCATCCTGATGTAGAGATACCTGGTTTATAACCTTCCCAGACCCTCTCCTCTCCACACCCAAGGGTCCCGGAGTTCCCTGTGGAGCTGCAAGTTCTGGCTGCAGGTCCCAGCTGCTGGGGGATGGCAGAGTGTTCCCATCCCTGTGCATCCCTCTGGGGCTATCTAGGGCTTGCTCCTGCCCACCATGCACTTCTCTTGCCCGTTTTCCTGAAGAAGAAACCTTTCCAAGGCAAGCGGCGCCCCCAGCCCCCTGAAGCCCAGGTGAGGGCCGAAGCCGCCCATCCCCATCTTCATCCTCAACAGAACCAGAAGGACTTGAGTCCAACTGAGCGCCACTGAAACTTGGAGGCGCCTCTGCATCTTCCTCCTCTTCCAAGGCCATGAGTCGCTTCTGGACCAGCTGAAAGAAATGAACAAATAGTCAGTTCTATACGTGGTTGTGAAAGAGGTGGCTGAGTGGGTGGCACAAGACGGTATTTGGGCAGGGCAAGGAAGGCAAGCAAGTAGTTTAAGCGATGGTAGCAAAGACAGATACTGCAGCTCTTTCCCACCTTCTTGTGCCTTATTCCCATGCTTTGAGCCCTTACATTCTCATTTCCTGTGTTTCCATAGCCCTCTACCTACTCGTTCTGCACCTGAAGCCCAATCCTGAAGCTGTTCATCTCTAGAGCCATATCACCCACGACAGTGTAGGGTTAGATAAAATCTTGCAAGCTTCTCGTTCTCATATTTCCTATACCCCAGTTTTACCTGGGCAAGAGTGAGTCCTTCTTCTTGCTCTAGCTCCTCAATTAAGGCCAAGGGATCTCTCTGTTTTTCTGGGGACAGCAGATCTGCCAGAAATTGAGGGTGAATGACAGCCTCCACCTGGATAACAGAAGGAAAAGCGATGTAAGTCTGTAAGCAGGTAACCTGTGAAACAAGGGGCTTTACAGAAGAAACTAAGAGCTCCCCAACTCTCCCCTCTTACCCCTCCGGTATTGTAAACTGACCACCACCGGCTACACACATTCTCATGATGATGCATGCACACACATTACTCAGTTATAGAATAAAACCTAAGTCCTACTGCATTGGACAAACCCCAGATCATTAGTTCCCGGGAGTACCCACCCCAAGGATCTGCTAGAAACAAGATGTGCAGGCCCAGCTCACCTTGGAGACAAAGACCTTCTGAGAACACAGCTCATTGATGTAGCTCAGGAGACCTGGATCTGGATACATCCCTTCCTCCTCCTGCTGCTGCCCTTCTTCCTCTTGTTTTCCATCTGACTCCCCAGTGGCCAAGTGAGTCCCCACCAGCCATTCCATGATGTCAACATACTCCTTCACAGCTTCTGGTGGGATCTCCTTGGGTGCCTCAGGAGCAGGAGGTCTCTGGGCTTTACGCTGACGCCGGCGGGGGGCCCGTGTCTTGGAGGCTGCCTTCTTCGGAATGTACACTAAGGGAAGAGATGGACAGGAGAATGGGAAGTAGCACAGAAACCACAGCTTCTGCCTCCCAGCTCTGTAAGCTCAGCAATCTGGGTACATTGAAATGGTTCCAGGCTGGATTGGGCCAACCTGAAAAAGCGCCAGCCATGGGAGATTTAGGACCTAGAGGGTCTAAGAATCACTGTATGAGGAATTTTGGAATCCCTGAGATTCCAAGAAACCCCCTAATCCAGTCCCCATTTCTTAGGCAGGTGAGGTATTATGTGCTGAATTTAGAGTCTCGGTGAGAGTAGTCAGTTTACTTCACCAAGATCAATACCTAGTTCAGGGCAAAAGGAACCTGAGAACCCAGCCTCCTATGGGGTGGTCTGTTTGGAATATCAAATGCCACTCTCCAGAGGGAAAGTGGCAGAGCCTGGGCTATGCCTTCTCTAATCTGTGACTGGCTTCTGTATGCATCCCTTTGAGCCTTTGGCCCACGGCTCCTGTCAAAATTGGGTAGCCTCACCTGGCTGCTGGCAAACCTCAGAGGCCAGGGGCCCTAGAGGATCAAGTTTCAAAGGGGTTGCAGGAGACAGGCCCTGAGACCCATTCATCAGCTGTGTGTTCTGAATCTGCATCTCCTCAGCCTCAAACTCCATGAACCTGCAGAGGGTGAGAAAGGCATAGGCAATGCTGAGAAGGAGACCAGACCCATCAGAAATCCAGACGACAGCCAAGCATGGCCAAGAAAGGAAGTGCTCTCAGGTGGGCAAAGTCTGCCTAAGTCATGTCACCCAGGAGGGTGGTCACAGGTGGCTTAATCGTATTTCCAGGGAAACTTCAGGAGCTCAGCACATAGTTCCTTCCCCTATAGTCATAACTTAGGAAGCTTAAGAAAATGAATGGCCAGGTGGGGTGGCTCATGCCTATAAACCCAACACTTTGGGAGGCTGAGGTGGGCAGATTGCTTGAGCCCAAGAGTTTGAGACCAACCTGGGTAACACGGCAAAAACCCATCTCTACAAAAGATACCAAAAAAATTAGCCAAGAGTGATGACGCGCGTCTAGTCACAGCTATTGTGGGGCTGAGGTGGGAGGATCGCTTGAGCTCAAGAGGTGAAGGCTGCAGTGAGCCATGACAGTGCCACTGCACTCCAGCCTGGGCAACAGAGTGAGATCCTGCCTCAAGAAAATTTTTAAAAAGTAAAGAATGAGGCCAGGCGCAGTGGCTCACGCCTGTAACCCCAGCACTTTGGGAGGCTGAGGCGGGCGGATCATGAGGTCAGGAGTTCGAGACCAGCCTGGCCAACATAGTGAAACCCCGTCTCTACTAAAAATGCACAAAATTAGCCTGATGTGGTGGTGGGTGCCTGTAATCCCAGCTACTCGGGAGGCTTAGGCAGGAGAATCACTTGAACCCAGGAGGCAGAGGTTGCAGTGAGCCGAGATCGTGCCATTGCACTCCAGCCCAGGCAACAGTGTGAGACTTTGTCTCAAAAAAAAAAAAAAAAAAAAAAAAAGTTAAGAATGATCTAGAGCTTGTAAACTTCTCTTGGACACAGCGAGGGCTTTCAGTACTTGTTTTTGTTTTTGAGACAGAGTCTCACTCTGTCGCCCAGGATGAAGTGCAGTGGCCCAATCTCGGCTCACTGCAACCTCTGCCTCCCGGGTTCAAGTGATTCTCCTGCCTCAGTCTCCTGAGTAGCTGGGACTACAGGTGCGTGCCACCACGCCTGGCTTTTTTTTTTTTTTTTTGTATTTTTAGTAGAGACGGGGTTTCACCGTGTTAGCCAGAATGGTCTCAATCTCCTGACTTCATGATCCGCCCGCCTCACCCTCCCAAAATGCTGGGATTACAGGTGTGAGCCAATGTGCCCGGCCTCACTTGTTTTCCGTACCTATCTCACCCAGCTTCATGGATTGTACACAGCAGTGCTCAATATAGGCTTGTTTAATTTAATCAGGCCTATGCAACAGCCTGGTGGGATCTCACAGTGGGATCCTCCTCAAGACCTCATTTGCCCCTGCCTACAACCACAAAGAATTCAAGGCAGTTCCTACCAGGAAACAATGTGAGATCCCAGAGTCCTGAGACTGGGATGGGATTCTTGGAAAGGTAAGTCTAGGAAGCATGGGTCCAAAAGGTTTTGGGAGGGAGTAAGTGGAAGCTAAGCTTGGAAGAATCTGTTCATTTTTCTGAGTTTTTTCTTTCTTTCTTTCTTTTTTTGAGACAGAGTTTCGCTCTTGTTGCCGAGGCTGGAGTGCAATGGCACAATCTCGGCTCACCGCAACCTCTGCCTCCTGGGTTCAAGCGATTCTCCTGCCTCAGCCTCCTGAGTAGCTGGGATTACAGGCATGCGCCACCATGCCTGGCTAATTTTGTATTTTTAGTAGAGATGGGGGTTTCTCCATGTTAGTCAGGCTGGTCTCGAACTCCCGACCTCAGGTGATCCGCCTGCCTCGGCCTCCCAAAGTGCTGGGATTACAGGCGGAGCCACCACGCCCAGCCTTTTTTTTTTTTTTTTTAATCAAAGATATTATAGAGAAATAGAAGAAGAGCCAGGAGACAACTTTGGGCATCCAGGACACTGGCTTTCCCCGGCTCTTCCAGAACCAGCCCCCTCCCTGGGATAAAGGCGGAAAGGGATTTTCTGTGCCACTATTTCCAATGGAGGAGTGGTCCTGAAGTTCTGTATCAATAGCCACTTGCTACCAAGTCAATGAGAAGAGAAAAGAACCTGCCTGGTAGAGCACACCTCCTCATTGCTAGGTCCCTTCAGCATGAAATTTCTATATCTATCGGGGTCCAATCTCCAATCCCATCCTAAGACCTACAATATCAAGGCTCCTATACAGATTCAGGATCTGGTGAGGGGGGAGCTTTCAAGAGGAAACAGGATAGAAAAACCCAAGAGTCAAGGTGGTGGAAGAAGAAGCAAGGATCCAGGAAACTGCCATCCTAGTCTACACCCCTCCTCCCGTCCCTTTTTTTCTTTTCTTTTCTTTTTTTTTTTTTTGTGATGAGGTCTTGCTATGTTGTCCAGGCTGGTCTTGAACTACTGAACCCAAACCATCCTCCCACCTTAGCCTCTAGAGTAGCTGGGACTACAAGCACACACCCAGCCTAACATCCCTTTTTTTTTTTTTTTTTTTTTTTTTTTTTGAGATGGAGTCTTGCTCTGTCACCCATGCTGGAGTGCAGAGGCATGATCTTGGCTCACAGCAACCTCCACCTCCCAGGTTCAAACGATTCTCCTGCCTCAGCCTCCTGAGTAGCTGGGACTACAGGCACATGCCACCATGCCCGGCTAATTTTTGTATTTTTTTTTTTTTTAGTAGAGACAGGGTTTCGCCATGTTGGCCAGGCTGTTCTCGAACTCCTGACCTCAGGTGATCCACCGGCCTTGGCCTCCCAAAGTGGTGGGATTACAGGCGTGAGCCGCTGCGCCCCATCCTAACATGGCTTTTGATAATCACCCCCACACAAGCCTCTCTGCGGCCCTTACTGCTCTCAGCCACACAGCCTCCCTCAGGAGAATGAAGGTTCATCGAACTCACCTTTCTGCCATCTCATAAAAGATCATCCGGTCAAAGTTGCTGGTGTGCTCCCACTCCTGCACAGCCAATGGCAGTCCCTCCTCCAGGGTCATAGTGGGCTTCAGCCGGGCCAGGGAACGAAGCACTGGGCTAAAACCCCCATTGAGTCAGTCACATTCTAAAAGTGTGCTCCCATCCACCTGCCCTGACACCTACATCAATAACACATCCCCTGCCCCTCATCAAATCTATTGTGCCCCTTAGGGCCTGTCGTGTCCCACTTCTGATTAGACTTACAGACGCTCAACCTCCCATCCATTCATCTACCATACTCGCCCCTCTTCCTGTTGAACTTTACAACTAATATAAAATCAAACAGACAATTCTTCTCCCCACCTTTTAAAATCAATGGCAACTACCACCCCTAATTATCACAGTGCCATCCTCAATTAATTATTAGAAAGGGAGGACTCGCGTTATTAAATGAATGGGATTTGCTATAAAGTATGTTTAACCTTGTCCAAAGGCTCTTGCATTTTTTCTTTAAAGGCATTTGCTAACCCAAAGGAATCTCTAATTAAAGGTCATGTGGTGTTTTTATTTATTGGTTTTTCAGTCTTTGTTTCCAGATATTCCCCACAGACAGTTAAATGCCAGTACTAGACCCCCACTTCTAGAGGGCTCTTGAGCCCTTCCTAATCCAGAAGAAATCAAGAGCCCAGCCTAAAGCAAGGGCTTCATTTTTATCTCTCTGACTCCCTTGGAGTCCTCAGACATTATTGGGCATCAGAATCGCTTGGGGAAGCTCGTTATAATCAACTTGCAGCTCCCCAGGATCCCACAACTGAGCATTTTAGGAGCTTCCCATGTTGCAGTGGTCTGGACTGCCTCTTGTGGAAGACCCTGCCCAGAGCCCCTGAGTGTGAAGCACAAGCAGACCAGGACCCAAAGCAAATGGATCCCATGCAAACCTTGAGAGCCCACACTGGTTCAAGATTTTGAAATTTAGCCTGCTAGGCTCCAAGAGCGAACTCAGATCTGCCTTGAGAAAGCAGGGAGCCTGAAGACGCTGTACATCTAGGACTTTGGGGGAACATCTTGATTCATTTGCTCCAAGTTCGGGGTAGAGGGATTCCTTTAGGAGTTCAGCCACTGGAAGAGCACCATGTACATTTGTTTAAAGCAATAAAATGTGGTATGTGTTATATAGCGGCTTACACAAAATGCTGAGGGCACAGGGCAGTTGAGAGGGACAGTGGGTCTGGGTGGGAAGGGAAGACTGTTCCCCAGCTGAGGAATGACTGTTTTGTAAACAAAACAGCCTAGGACCCTGGGCTCCTTGACTAAACACACACTCGCTCTTAAGCAAGGACGTTTTGACCTTTTGCGAGTTCTTTTCCTCTTCTAGATGGCCTTTTTAGGATAATAATAAAACAGTTGACATTTAATGAAACATTCTCTGCGCCAAGGACTTCACATATATTAACCCATTTAATCTCCTCAGCAACTCTGTGAATTAGGTATAGTTATCCCCCTTTTTAACTGAGAAAACTGAGGGCAAAGATGTTAAATGTCCTGCCCAGGATCACAAATCTAGTGAGTGGTAGAGCCATGCCCTTGACCACTAAGCAAGCTCTACCCACCACCCTATTTCAAAGTGAATTCTCCTGAATAAAATGAGTGGAGGGAGCAGAGGGAGCAGCACACACAAAGTCCTTTGCCTGGCCCCACACTGTTCCCCCTGCCACCCAGGGCCCTGAGTTAGGGTCCAGCACTCATCCTGGCTAGTTTGGATAGTTCTGACTCAATGTCAAAAGGTAGTAAAATAGAACGGGGGGAGGACCCTGGCACTTAGAGTGAGAGACCTAAGTTCCAATCACTGGTCCTTGGTTTCAGTCTTCTTATCTGTAAATGAAGATTACCAGAGGAAGGCTTGCCTGAACTCACAGTGTGGTGAGGATCACTTAAGATAAGACACCTGAAAGGTTGTTATAAACTAGGAAGTGGGTTAAGAGGCTGATTATTATTATTAATATGTTTTTCATTCTCAGAGCATCTCCCTTGCCCTCATGACCTTCCCTCAAGTAGTCCTAAATAGCCTAAACTACTATGTTCACCCCAAAGTCCTCCTTATTTAAAAGCCCTAGAATAATTAATCTCCGGTCTCCCCACTTACATAAGAAAACAGGAAAGAGCTTCTGTGTCAGGACTCTGGGATAGGTGCCTCCGGGCCAAGGCTTTGTAACGCTGCCACTGACGGAAGTTCTCATAAACGTCCTTGGAAATTTTGGAGCGGTCACCTAGGGAAGGCTTGGATAGAGTGGCCACAGGACCTCCTTCCCCGGTTGTCCCATGTGGCCCTGGCCAAGCTTTTTCCAGGGGCACAATGGGGACCAGTTGAGCAACTGGTGGTGGAGGCTGAGGCGGAAGGCCTGGAGGACCCTCCTGGCTGACACCAACAGCCTTAGAGGGCAGAATGGTCTTCACATTAGATGCTGTCACAAATGGAGGTGCAGGACCCTCAAGGCCTCCACAGGGAGTGCCCGGGGCAGTCGAATTGAGGGCAGTCTGAGTAAGGATAAAGTTCTGAGTTTGAGAGGGCTCAGCTGACCCCCCTTCTGTCTTGACTTTGACAATGACCTTGCCAGCCCCAGCCCCACTGAGGCAAGGGCCCCCGTCCCCTGTCACCAACAGTGAGCTGGGGAAAGCAGAGAGCATCAGAGGGTTGTCTGGAGAGAATACTGAAGGCATGATGGGCTGTGGAGGTGGCTCCCTGGGTGGGTGGTCTGGTGGGTCAGAAGTTGGTGGGAGAAAGGGAAGTGCAGGGGATGGAGACAGGGCGGCACTAGGTTTCATGCTCATATCCGGTCCCGGCAATGCAGATGCTGTTGAGACAAAGAAAAAGAAGAAATGGAGTAGGAGAAAAGAAGACCAGAGTTAGCCATCTGAATTCCCCATTTTTTTATTTTTATTTTTATTTTTATTTTTATTTTTTGAGATGGAGTCTCGCTCTGTCGCCCAGGCTGGAGTGCAGTGGCACAATCTCGGCTCACTGCAATCTCCGCCTCCTAGGTTCATGCCATTCTCCTGCCTCAGCCTCCTGTGTAGCTGGGACTACAGACGCCCACCACCACGCCCGGCTAACTTTTTGTATTTTTAATAGAGACGGGGTTTCACCGTGTTAGCCAGGTTGGTCTCGATCTCCTGACCTTGTGATCCGCCTGCTTCGGCCTCCCAAAGTGCTGGGATTACAGGTGAATTCCTCCTTTATTTTTAAATTTTTTTGTAGAGGCCGGGCACGGTGGTTCATATCTGTAATCCCAGCACTTTGGGAGGCCAAGGTGGAAGGATTGCTTGACTCCAGGAGTTTGAGACCAGCCTGGGCAACATGGCAAAACCCTGTCTCCATTAAAAATACGAAAATAAGCCAGGTGCGGTGGCATGCACCTGTAGTCCCAACTACTTGGGGGGCTGGGGTGGGAGGATCGCTTGAGCCCAAGAAGTTGAGGCTGCAGTGAGCTGAGATTGCGCCTCTGTGCTCCAGCCTCGGTGACAAAGGAAAACTCTGTCTCAAAAAAAAAAAAAAGAAAAATTGTAGAGATGACGTCTCGCTATGTTGCCTAGGCTAGGCTCAGACTCCTGGCCTCAAGTGATCCTCCTGCCTCAGCCTTCCAAAGTGCAGAGATAACTGGTGTGAGCCACCACACCCCATCTGAGTTCTTCTTTAGACCCGAAGACTCAAAGCACTGATTCTCAACAGGTGAAAGAGGGGATATGGATGGGGAACTTGCATAGTTTGCAAATGTCCCCCAAGTGATTTTGATCTTACTTCTCGTTGAGAATGACTGCATTAAAGAAGTTGCTTCTTTTTCAACAAGACACACAGACCCCTATCTGCCAAGAAGAGACAAGCCCAAGCCATCACTGCCTCTAAGTGCTGCTTTTTTTTTTTTTTTTTTTTTTTTTTTTTTTTTTTTTTAGATGGAGTCTTGCTCTGTGGCCCATTCTGGAGTGCAGCAGCACGATCTTAGCTCACTGCAACCTCCACCTCCTGGGTTCAAGTGATTCTCCTGCCTCAGCCCCGCAAGTAGCTGGGATTACAGGCACGAACCACCACATCCAGCTAATTTTTGTATTTTTAGGACATACGGTGTTTACGCCATGTTGGCCAGGCTGGTCTCAAAAACCTGACCTCAGGTAATCCACCCGCCTCGACCTCCTAAAGTGTTGGGATTACAGGCATGAGCCACTGTGCCCGGTCCCCTAAGTGCTTCTCTAAGAAAATTCCTGGCAGACCTCTCCAGCCTCTCCATAGGCTGTTTACTAAGATACAGAATTGGGTTGACACCTGATCTGCAGAGAAAACAGCCCACAGCAGGCTCAGTGCAGTAAGGGAACTAGTCCACGATAAGTTCCAGCCCATCTCGAGGCATCCACAAGGCCTTTGAGAAGGAGGCACTTTCAAAAATATTATTGGCTTATTCCCTCCTCCTTTTCCTTTTCCTGTTGCTTCTTATAAATCTCTCTTAACCTAAAACAACAGAAGAAAGATTCAATCTATAAGCAGGAGCAGTGACTCTAGGACCCACGAAGTTCAGATATCCCATAACACATTCCACCCAGCATTACATGTACATCTCCTATGCTCACCTATTCCAAACAAAAGATTCAAACCACCTGAACCCTGCTTTCTCCCAGCTGCTCTGTGGCCTCTGCCACCACTCACAGAAGTACTGTTCCCAGGAGAGGATACGGGGATTGGATGTTTGGTTCCCAGAAATGTTGTTGTATAACAGCCAGGAATAATTAGAGAGGATTAGATAAGGACAAGGAAATGAGTGAGGGGAGGGCGGTGTGGGGAGAGAAGTTTCCAGATCTTTAAGTAACTGCTGGACATGTTTGGCGATGCAGACTATCTGTGGTCCTTCTACTTGGAGCTCCTAATATCAGAAATTTAGGGCTCACTAGGAACAAGGCACTGAGCTAGGTGCTAAGGAAAGGACAATGAAGTCCTTCATTGTCACAGTTCCAGCTGAGGAGGGGCTACGTGGACTCTAGTCAAAAAGACCAAGGATAAGTATACAAATGTGTACTTAATTGATGAGAACCTGTGTCTCCTAGGACTTTTTTTTTTTCTCTTTTCCGAGGCAGAGTCTCTGTCACCTAGGCTGGAGCGCAGTGGCACAATTTCAGCTCACTGCAACCTCTGCAGCCTCCCGGGTTCAAGCGATTCTCCTGCCTCAGCCTCCCGAGTAGCTGGGATTACAGGCGGGCGCCACCATGCCCAGTTAATTTTTGTATTTTTAGTAGAGACGGGGTTTCACCATGTTGGCCAGGCTGGTCTCGAACTCCTGACCTCAAGTGATCCACCTCCCTCGGCCTCCCAAAGTGCTGAGATTACAGGCGCTTGAGGTCAGGAGTTGGAGACCAGCCTGGCCAACATGGTGAAACCCCGTCTCTACTAAAAATACAAAAATTAGCTGGGTGTGGTGGTGGGCGCCTGTATCCCAGCTGCTCAGGAGGCTGAGGAAAGAGAATCGCTTGAACCCGGGAGGCAGAGGTTGCAGTGAGCTAACATCACACCACTGCACTCCAGCGTAAGCGACACAGTGAGACTCCATCTCAAAAAAAAAAAAAAAAGGTAGAATATAACCTGCTTAAATCTCCTCCCCCTTACAAAAAATATTCCACTGGCAAACTAACACCACTCAACTTCTGCATTCTGACCATGGGACATGAGCAAACTCAGATTCAAACTCATTTCAGCCACAGAGCAGAGGGCTGAGGGTATGCCACTGAGTGCAGAACACAATGAAAGGGGCCTGAAGGCCTGAGATCCATAAAAGGAAGAAAAACTAAGAGCATCTCAGTGAAGCCCCTGCTCTCATCCTGGCTGTCATGACCCACCTCCCTGGCCCAGATGAATCAGGAAAAACTGCTTCCTGAACTCAGAGCAAAGCCACCTCTAGGGCTGGAAGGAGCCGTGGGGCTCTGAGCAGAGGCAGCTGTTTTTTGTGTTTTGTTTTTTTGTTTTTTTTTGTTTTTTTGAGACTGAGTTTCGCTCTTGTTGCCCAGGCTGGAGTGCGATGACGCGATCTTGGCTCACCACAACCTCCGCCTCCCAGATTCAAGTGATTCTCCTGCCTCAGCCTCCCGAGTAGCTAAGATTACAGGCATGTGCCACCATGCCCGGCTAATTTTTTTTTTGTATTTTTAGTAGAGATAGGGTTTCTCCACGCGTTGGTCAGGCTGGTCTCGAACTCCCGACCTCAAGCGCCTGTAATCTCAGCACTTTGGGAGGCCGAGGGAGGTGGATCACTTGAGGTCAGGAGTTCGAGACCAGCCTGGCCAACATGGTGATCCACCCGCCTCAGCCTTCCAAAGTGCTGGGATTACAGGCATGAGCCACCGCACCCGGCCCAAGCAGAGGCAGTTTATAATACATTCCAGCCTAGTTTTCAGGAAGGCATTTCTCTGCAACAGATAACTACAGATTATCTTTTCCCACTAAGGTCCTTCCCACCTTACCCTCCCATCCTCCATCCTCCACATCCCCTTCCCCTCATAAGCTCAAGCATGGCAAAATCCTAGAACAGGCTCCAGTTGCCTAAAAAAGACAGATGAACTTGGGCCTTCCCCCTTGAAACCTCTCTGTGCCAGTCCTAAGACACATACCCCTGATCCTCTCTCCCACCACAAAAACACATGCGGAAGTGTCCCCTGTTCAAGAGAATCAAGTTGCTAATTGCCATCCTTTCTCTATACTCAGCATGTGTCCTCAGAGACACCTTAATCTGTCCTTAAGGAAGTCCTCTTCCTTCCCCAGCCCCTAGTCTTAAAGGTACAATCTCCTTCCCTAGCCTCCCCAAGTGTGATACCTTTGACGGGGTGTAGCACCTCACATTCCTTTAGGTCAGCCCAGAGAGCTTGTCTCAAAGGATATGAGCAGGTACCAGAAATCCTCCTCACCACCTGCAGACTTACCTCCATCTGAAGCCATCCTCTCAGGTTTGGGCACTAACTGTGGCTGTCTGGAAGCCTCCAGAATGAGGCAGTCAGGTCCAGGACCCAGAGTAACCTGGCTCCAGTAGGTGCACAGGGATCCAAGGAAGGGAAGGTAAAGATCAGATCACACAGAACTAGAATACGGAACTCAAGGCATTCTGCTGTGGGGGAGGGGAGAGGGAAAAGTGGGGTGAGGGTGGGGACAGATATTCCATGAAGGGTTCTAGTAAGTATGAAAAAACCAGGAATTCCCTTCAAACTACAGTTTGGCAACACAATTGATGTTTGCCTCTTTAGGGCTATTTGTAAACTTTTTCTCAGATTCCCAACACATTACAGTTTTACCGTTTGGTTCACTACACTTCGATTCTTCACCAACATATCTCATTTTGTGTCCTTCCATCCCAGCCAGTTCTGTAACTGACTTCCTATTAACAGCAGGTTGACTGTAGACCCCTGACTTAATTCAATGATGGCTATATTTTCTGAACTAAATTCAGAGTACATTGGTCTATACACGTAAGGATCAAGGGAACTAAAGTTTAAAATTAGAATTGTCAGATGATCCAAGGTGCTCGATTGCTGTGTGCACATCATTTCCTTGGAAAGCTGTCCAATCTACTAACATAGGCTCTGTACTCCACAGACGCCTTACCCTTTGCTGAAAAGCCTCACTAAATAAAAAAGCTGCCATGCAGTTTAAAATTTCAAGAGTAGAAAGTCCTTCTTTTTGTTAAATTATTTTGGTTTAAACTTTAAAAATAAAATTTATCTGCTAAGGTTCCTGGCGACTATTTCAGGCCAGTAACTCCCAGAGCATCCTCTACAGCCACAGCTTCATCCAAACGTGGATTTCCCCCAAAAGGCCTTCCCTGGGGTTCATGGCATCTTTCTTGCTTCCTCTGAGATATCTTTTCTCTTTTCTAAAGACCTGAAGGCTAAAATCATCATTTTCCTTTCTAACAAAATTAACTACTTAGATTTAAATTTTTTTTTTTAAACAGAGTCTCGCTCTGTCACCCAGGCTGTAGTGCAGTGGCGTGATCTCTGCTCACTGCAAGCTCCGCCTTCCGGGTTCACGCCATTGTCCTGCCTCACCCTCCTGAGTAGCTGGGACTACAGGCACCCACCACCATGCCCGGCTAATTTTTTGTATTTTTAGTAGAGACGGGGTTTCACTGTGTTAGCCAGGATAGTCTCGATCTCCTGACCTCATGATCCGCCCGCCTCAGCCTCCCAAAGTGCTGGGATTACTAGGCGTGAGCCACCGTGCCCGGCCTTTAAAAAATTTTTAACAGGTAATAAATACATTAGCAAGGTTCAAAAATCAAACTGCGTAATAAAATACATAGCAATAAGTCTGCCTCCCAACCCTTACCCCTTTCTCCTGCAACTAAGTTCTCTATCCCAGAGGAAACCAGTATCATCTGTTTCTTGTGAATACTTGCAGAGATTTTTTATGCAACTACAAGTAAATACAAACCATATTCTTTTTTTTTTTTTTTTTTTTTTGAGACAGGATCTCGCTCTGTCGCCCAGGCTGGAGTGCAGTGGCGTGATCTTGGCTCACTGCAACCTCCGCCTCCTGGGTTCAAGTGATTCTCCTGCCTCAGCCTCCCGAGTAGCTGGGACTACAGGTGCCCGCCACCACGCCCCGCTAATTTTTGTATTTTTGGGGGTTTCACCATATTGGCCAGGCTGGTCTCGAACTCCTGACCTTGTGATCCACCCGTCTCAGCCTCCCAAAGTGCTGGGATTACAGGCGTGAGCCACCGCGCCCAGCCACAAACCATATTTTTTTTTCTTTAAGACGGACCCAGGCTGGAGTGCAGTGGTGCTATCTCAGCTCGCTGCAACCTCTGCCTCCCCGGCTCAAATGATTCTCCTGCCTCAGCCTCTGAAGTAGCTGGGACTACAGGCGCCCACCACCACGCCCGGCTAATTTTTCTGTATTTTTAGTAGAGACGGGGTTTCGCCAGATTGGCCAGGCTGGTCTCGAACCCTTGACCTGTGATCTGCCTGCCTCAGCCTCCCAGTGTTGGGATTACAGGCGTGAGCCACCGCGCCCCGCCAAACCATATTCTTAAAAAAAAAAAAAAAAAAGTGCAGGTTTTTCTGGTTACACAGTTAATATATATTCCAATGCTTTTGTCATTGTAAATAATGGCGTAACGATGATCTTTGTAATGATATTTTGGTTCTCATTTTCATTTCTTTAAACGAGAGTCTTATAAGGAGAACTTCTATATTCTTTTAAAAATTGTAAAAACTCCTAGAAGGTGCACTTTATTACGTTATTATTAGCTACTCACCACCATAAGAAAGAGCGCTGAATTTGCGGTAGGGACCTAACTTTAAATCTTGGTTCGACCGCTGAAACATGCTTCACCAGTTTCATAAAATAACTTTACGCTCTTTCGCTTTACGGAATATTGATACTCAACATGCATTCTTTACCGCCAACGCTTTGAAATGGAGCAGGGGAACTGGATGTAAAAGAGGGGAGGGAAGAAAACCTCTTCTTTCTTCCCTAGGGTAAAGGGGCTCTGAATCCTGGAGCCCTTGTTTCTTCAGGCATTGAAAACTCACTGCTCCTGAAATGGGTGTGTATCTTGAGACAAAGACAGGCTTCTATACGTCAATATTCTATCCACATCCATCCCTACCCCCCTCTAACGCCGTGTACCTAGCACACAGTAGGGACACTCCACGTGTTTTAGCCTGCAAAGTTGCAAGTAGGGCCCCAAGCCAAGCCCTGCTCTCGTGCGCCCCCTTCTGGCTAGCTGAAAACAAGGCAAAAATTGACTACATTTTCCGGAGTGCCAGGAGAGAGAGACTTCCGGTTATGCAGGAAGGAAATTGACGAACACGTGACGCGGTCGGGCGGACCACTGCAGACTGAGCGGTGGACCGAATTGGGACCGCTGGCTTATAAGCGATCATGTTTCTCCAGTATTACCTCAACGAGCAGGGAGATCGAGTCTATACGCTGAAGGTGAGGAGAGAAAACAGGGTGTAAATAGGCATGGCGAGAAATGTAGATGGGAGGAGTGGGTGAGGTCATACGTGGAGTTACCTAGCTGGGTGCGGGGAACCAGAAAGTCCAGAACCGAGGTGGGGAAGAACCGGGACCGCGCGACTCATTTTTTAATTAAAAGAAAAAATTCTGGCGGGGCGCAGTGGCTCCCGCCTGTAATCCTAGCACTTTGGGAGGCCGAGGCGGGTGGATTGCCTTAGCTCAGGAGTTCGCGACCATTCTGGGCAACACTGTGAAACTCCGTTTCTACTAAAATACAAAAAATTAGCCGGGCATGGCGGTGTGCGCCTGTTATCCCAGCTACTCGGGAGGCTGAGACAGGAGAATCGCTTAAACCCGGGAGGCAGAGGTTGCAGTGAGCCGGGATAGCGCCATTGCACTCACTTTTCCTTTTTTTTTTTTTTTTTTTTTTTAAAGACAGGGACTCGCTTTGTTGCCTAGGCTGTAGTGCGGTGGTGCGGTCTCGGCTCACTGCAACCTCCGCCTCCTGGGCTCAAACAATCCTTCTGCCTCAGCCTCCCGAGTAGTTGGGACTACAGGCGTGCGCCACCATACCCGGCTAATTTTTGGTTTTGGGGTTTTTTGTTTGGTTGGTTGGTTTTGTTTGTTTGTTTGTTGTAGAGACGAGGTTTCGCCATATTGCCCAGGCTGGTCTCAAACCATCCTCCCGCCTCGACCTCCCAAAGTGCCAGGATTACAGGCGTGAGCCACCGCGCTCGGCCTTTTTAAATTTTATATTTCTCTATTTATTTGTACAACTTTTTGAGTTGACCATTGCATCTTCTATTTTCATGTTTGCCCTTTTTCGCGCTGGCCCCACCCCATTTCATCACTCCTGTACTGACATACATTCTGTGTTCCTGGAGCAGAAATTTGACCCGATGGGACAACAGACCTGCTCAGCCCATCCTGCTCGGTTCTCCCCAGATGACAAATACTCTCGACACCGAATCACCATCAAGAAACGCTTCAAGGTGCTCATGACCCAGCAACCGCGCCCTGTCCTCTGAGGGTCCCTTAAACTGATGTCTTTTCTGCCACCTGTTACCCCTCGGAGACTCCGTAACCAAACTCTTCGGACTGTGAGCCCTGATGCCTTTTTGCCAGCCATACTCTTTGGCATCCAGTCTCTCGTGGCGATTGATTATGCTTGTGTGAGGCAATCATGGTGGCATCACCCATAAAGGGAACACATTTGACTTTTTTTTCTCATATTTTAAATTACTACAAGATTATTAAAGATAAAATGATTTGAAAAACTCTTATTTTGTGAGTTGTTGGAGGAAAGGATTGGCAGTATTTTTTTAAAGGGAGGGAGATGATAAAGGAGAGTACCCCAGAGAGTTGCAACAATACCACTTGGAAGAAAAACTTCAGTCCTGCTGTTGCAAGAGTGGTCATGTGCTGTTCATGATAGGAGGGTATTGGGGAAGAAAGATTAAGACTTTCACAGCTGTCAGCATTCACTGAAAAATACCTCTGTTGTCACTTAACGTAATTTCTTGTCCCTTGAAATAAGATTTTGATTAAAAATGGAAGAGTACTTGTAAAAGTAATAGGCATATTACAGACAGAGGTCAGTGAATTGAAAGTCAGAAGACCAGTATTTGCTTTTTGTATAACTTTGAGAAAGTTACTTAACCTGTTTAGTCTGATTTTTCTCCTGATTAACTTATCTTTGAACTCAAATTGATTTAGTGGTGGGCCTTTCTTTTTTTTTCTTTTGAGACAGAGTCTAGATCTGTTGTCCAGGCTGGAGTGCAGGGGTGCAGCCTTGGCTGACTACAACCTCCGTCTCCCAGGTTCAAGCAATTCTCCTGCCTCAGCTTCCCAAGTAACTGGGATTACAGGTGCACGCCACCACACCTGGCTAATTTTTGTATTTCTTTTAGTAGTGACAGGGTTTCGCCATGTCGGCCAAGCTGGTCTCAAACTCCTCACCTCAAGTGATCCACCCACCTCAGCCTCCCAAAGTGCTGGGATTACAGGCATGAGTCACCACACCTGGCCTGGGTCTTTCTTTTTTTTTGAGATGGAGTTTTGCTCTTGTACCCCAGGCTGGAGTGCAGTGGCGCCATCTTGGTTCACTGCAACCTCCGCCTCCTGGGTTCAAGCTATTCTCCTGCCTCAGCCTCCCGAGTAGCTAGGACTACAGGCGCACACCACCATGCCTGGCTAATTTTTGTATTTTTAGTAGAAACAAGGTTTCACCTTGTTGGTCAGGCTGATCTCAAACTCCTGACCTCAAGTAATCCGCCCGCCTCAGCCTCCCAAAGTGCTGGGATTACGGGCATGAGCCACCTTGGCCGGCCTAGTGCTGCAGATTTTAAAATTGCTTTGTGGAGTCTGTATTTTAATTCTGCAATCTTTATTTTCTATGATAAAAATTCTAGATTCCAGAAGCAGATATAACTTAAATTAGCACAGATGTGATTTATGAAGACATACCCTGGAAATACTTTTTTTTTTTTTTTGAGTCAGGTCTCACTCCTGTGGTCCAGGCAGGAGTGCAGTGATGTGATCACAACTCATTGCAGCCTCTACCTCCCTGTCTCAAGCGGTCCACCCCATTTTTAAATTTTTTATAGAAACGAGGTCTCACTATGTTGCCCAAGCTGGTGTTGCACTCCGGGCTCAAGCTGTCCTCCTGCCTTGGCCTCCCAAAGTGTTGGGATTACGGGCGTGAGCCACAGTGCCCGGCCAGACTTTGCTTTTCTTGGATCTTGCTATTTGACCATCCCAGCAGAAAAGTTCAGGATAGTTGTGGGTTGCTGAAAAGAAAAAAAAAAGTCTCTCAACTGGAGTCATAATTAATAGAAGACAGATGATTTTGAAATACATTACTGAAACATATAGGAATGGTGAAATGAGATACTTGTTTCCTGTCAAGGAATTTTATTTCTTAGCCTGTTCACTTACTTGCAGGGTTCTTAACATTGGATCTGAAGGATTTTAAAGAGTTAACTTAGAGAAATTGTGAAATGGGATACTTGTTTCCTGTCAAGCAATTTTATTTCTTAGCTTGTTCACTTACAGGATTGGATATAACATTGGATCTGAAAGATTTTTAAAAGTTATCTTATCCAATTAAGGGGATAATGATTGGAGACATGTTTCTTAAGCACCAAAGTCAGTAAGTGAATTTTGCTACCAGTTTTTTAATGTTGGCTGCAGTTCTGCCTTTATCTTACAAAAAAGAAAAAAAAAAAAGAATTAGCATTGCTCCATGCTACCACCTGTGTAGACTTAAAAGCTTTAACCTGAAAATATTCCTAATGAATATAGAGGAGAGAAAGCAAACTGGCATGAATATAAAAAGGACTTTTTCCATAAGAGATCCCCTGAGGAATGAGGCTTCATTTTGCACCAGAGGCTGTGTCTCCCTGAGAAAATAAAGAGATCCCTGGGGTATTAACGTCTGAGACATACATTTATAGAGCTTGGTTAGTGCTCAGAAACAAGAAAAGTCTTAACAGGGATAGTATATTGGAATTAGGTGGTACATATAAGTAAATGCAGATACACTGGTAGGAAATTGGGTTTCATAAAAATTCTGTGTTTCTTTATAAAGGAAAAGTCTGAAGTTTGAATGAACGGCAGGCCTGCCTGAGGAAAAAATTGATCCTGCTGAGGATGGATGAAAGCTGTGGGCCTGAATCAAGAAACCCAGACTTTATAAAGAGTCAAACTTTAGGAGGTTTACACTTTACATTAGGATTTCTCATTTTGTTACCAGGATCTTTTTAACCTTTTTGATCCTTTAATCCTTGAAAGGATTTGGACTTTGTGTGTCATTTGATAAAAGAGAACTTCCGGGAATACAGTTCCCATTGCTAGGAGTGCTGCTTAAACATAACCACTTGTGAGGAGCCAAGACCCCAGGCAAAACCGGGGGCCAGTTTCTGGGCCCAGGTGATTGTTAAATTTAGAGGTCTTGATCACAGCTATAGGAAATAGCTTTTCAAACAAAACATTGGTGAGTCAGAATTTATCGAACACCACCATTTATACATTAAATAAACACTAAGAAAAAATATTCTAGCGACAAATGTAGTGGTGAAAACATGGAATGGATTTGAGAAAATACATCAACGTCTTCTCCAGGTATAAAAAAACGTATTATTTAGTGGAACTTTCAGTCTGACTAGAAAGTGGACATAGCATTTATTAAAAGGACAAGAACAACAACAAAAAATTAAAGTAGGACAAATGTGTTTAAGGTACTTTATAGTTTTATTTTTATTTATTTATTTCTTTGAGACGGAGTTTTGCTCTTGTCCCCCCAGGCTGGAATGCAATGGTGCGTTCTCGGCTCACTGCAACCTCCGCCTCCCAAGCTCAAGCGATTCTCCTGCCTCAGTCTAAGGAATAGCTGGGATTACAGGCACACGCCACCACGCCCGGCTAATTTTTGAATTTTTGGTAGAGACGGGGTTTCGCTATGCTGGCCAGGCTGGTCTGGAACTCCTGAGCTCAGGTGATCGATCACGCCCGCCTCAGCCTCCCAAAGTGCTAGGATTACAGTCGTGAACCACCGCGCCAGGCCTACTTTATAGTTTTAATTTTTTTTTTTTACATAAAAGTGGTTTATTTGTATGTAGACCTCTACATAAAAATTACAATGAGGGTTATTCCCAGGTATAGGAGCGGTGTTTCTGGTTAAAGAAATCATGAATGATGTTTTCAGAGACACTCATGAAAGAGAAATGGCTCCCCGGGTTCTGAGGGTGAGGAGCAGCGCCCGCCCTCTAGGATGCTTCCAGAGTGAGTGTGCAGCACAGCCGGACCGAGGAAAAGGATTATTCCCCTCTTCACGCGGGTCGGGCCGTGCCCTGGACTACAGCTCCCGTCGTGCCCCTGGCCACTCGTATTCGGCCCCGCCCCGCCTGCCGTGTCCCGCGGCGAGCGCAGGCGCGCTGCACTCGGTCACCGCGGGCTGCGGCGGCTGGGCGGGGCTTTCGGGCGCCCGCGGGACGGTTCCGCCCTCTCACTGCACCCCCGGGCTTCTCTTCGCAAGGTTCACCTCGAATGAGGAACAAGCGGGGAGGGAAGGGAAGGGCTGCGGCGGCGCGGGCGCACCCCGTCGGGCCCGGGGCTGGGGGAGGCCAGGTCACGTAACTGCTGCTCTGGCGTCGGGCCGGGGAGGGGGCGCCAGCCCCGGCAGCGCGAACCCTGCGCGCGCCGCGGCTCTGAAACAGTTACCGGCTAGTAAACAACAGCTGCGCGCGCACCCGCATCAGCTGGCGCCGGGATACTGCACCTGCGACCTCCTTCTCCCTCACCCTGCTGCCCAGTCAGGCCAGCCTGCGTGGCCGTCTCCTCCTCTACTGGGACCCTGAGGAAGAACGACGAGGGGGTGACCTGCGCCGGGGCGGGGGTAGGGGAGAACGCGCCTCCGGCAAAGGGGGTGGCTCGTCCTGTCACACGCAGGAGAAACCTAGCGAGCGGACCGTGGCTCAGTGGACTAGCTACGACTTGCCACGACTCTGAGCTGCAGTCCGAGGTGTCTTGATCCGCTAACCTCCTCCCAGACCCCGAGGACCTTTCTGCTAGGAGAAGAGCGGGCGCGCCACCCCCACCGACCTCTCGGAGACAGGAATCCGCTCTGCCCCTGCATCCTCCTCTGCTCACCCTTCTCTCAGTAGTGTGGGTTATTTTTCCCGTTATGCATGTGCACCTTTCCCACCAGACCCAAGTGGATTGTCGACATCAAAAACACCGGGTGGCTTTGCATACACCTCCCCCCAGCCAGACCTGTGGGGTATTCACCTGATACACAACAGGTGGCCGGGTGTACACCTTTTAGCAATCTGATCCACGCTATAGTCGCCTGATAAAGGTTTGCCTGCACGCACTTCGCCCAACTAGAACCGTGGGACACTCACCAGATAAAGGACTACCTCGACAGGAAACTGGGGGCTGAGGGGAGGGAGGCTTCATCTGCTGCCCTGAGACCATGGCACTGAGCCTTCAGCCCCGGACCAGAGGGGTTAGCTAGGTAGCTCTTCATTCTGAAGGAAAGAAGTCACACAAGATTGGCATTGTTTTGTCTTTTTGTTTTTTGTTTTTTTCTCTCTTAAAAAATATATTCACCTATTGGTGATGCACTTTCTAGGACAGTCGGCTTGAATTCTGAGTAGAAGTATTCTTAGTTGGGGCTTTTTGTGTGGTGTGAATCAAGGTTATTGAAATGTGTTATTTTTCAAGTTATCTTTTGTATTGCAGTCAAAAGTAGCTAGCGTAAGAGGAAGATTTTGCGAGGTTCCCCCCACTTTTTTTGTTCTTAAAAAGAACAAAATGCATCCTCCAGAAACCACCACCAAGATGGCTTCAGTTCGGTTCATGGTGACACCGACAAAGATCGATGACATTCCAGGTTTGTCAGACACCAGTCCGGACCTCAGCTCTCGATCTAGTTCCCGAGTAAGATTTAGCTCCCGGGAAAGCGTGCCTGAAACAAGCCGGAGTGAGCCTATGAGTGAGATGTCTGGGGCCACCACTTCGCTGGCAACTGTTGCACTGGATCCACCCAGTGACCGGACTTCTCACCCCCAGGATGTCATCGAGGGTAAGTAGAAACACAGACCGCAGCATACTTTCATTACTGGGTTCTTTATCCAAGATGACCATCTATGGATCTGGAAGATCATAATCATATAATTATGATTATAATAGTCATCAGGAACCAAGGCATCTCTTTGTGAGATGCTTAGGAACTCTTTGGAATAATAGCATAGTGGCTCTTTGCAGTAGTAATTTGGTATGTGGGAAGGTGTATGACAAGAAGGAAGGCAAATGTATATTTTAACTTCCTCATTTTTGTCTTCTTAGAAATGAAATGGGTATTTTGGTTAAAGGTGAATATCAAAGAATGTAATCGTTTTCAGCACACAGAATCCTAAATTTTAAAATTTAGTGAGTTGGATATGTGTTCTGTAGCCATCATTGGCTATTTCAGTCTGCTTTAAGACTGGTTTCATGGAGTAGTTACTGGTCGTATCTTAGCAGCTTTCCTCCAAGACTTCGAATGTGTATTGCAAAATTCTTTTTTGAAATCTGTATTTTTATGGAGACCTTGACACAAGTAGCTAAGCCCACTCAGGGTGATGGTGGGTAGACCTAATGTGCTATTCTGTCAAATGGAAGACTTCTGAAAAGGCTTTTAGGGCCTGATTCCCATGTAATTTATTCTCTCTGAGCTTTAGATGGAAAGTCTGATGATTAGAGTTAGCAGGTAGCACACAAGCCACTCCTGGCTCATGTTGACTGCTACAGACCTTTAGCTTCCTAAACCAGTTTGTGTGTGTCAGCTGGCTTGGTTTTATTTGAGGTACTGGGAAGAGGTGATGGAAGAGAGAGAAGAGAGAAAATGGGGAGATCATAACATTTTTTGGACTCTGAAATTTAAAAGTTTGAGACCTGTACTGCTTTATATATTTAGTTTTATGCTGTGTTGTAACTAATGTAATCTTTTAATGATAAAAATTTCCCTTAAAGACTCTTAAAATAATATTCCACCCAAGTTTGAAAACCATAGCCTCACCCACTGACTTGTGAAAGCAAGGCTTACTCACCATTTTCCGGTGTCAGGAAATATTGTTCCTTTTAACCTAAAGGGTTCAGGAAACCAGAATGATTTTAGTTCCCTAATTCTGTTTGTGTTTTTAGTATCTGGAGACAAGGTAGATTTGGTAAAGTTTACAGTCCTAGAATTCACTCATCCTTGACTAATCATTTTTTCTTTTATGGAGACATAGGTTGGTTCTCAGACTTTACTGTTTTCAACTTTTTGACAAATTTTACAGTGTGTCATACACTGGATTAAAATTACAGTATGGAATACAAATTTATCATTTCCTCTTCCTCCAAATTAATTCCAAATTGTGGTTTTAGTTTTTATCCATCATGCTGTATTTAGGTTGTAAAAATTCCAGGTAAAGACTATACCAGTGTTAATTTCTTAATATTGTAATTATCATTAGGTAATTTATAGTTTAGTTTGTTAGACTTGTGACTTACATGTTACAGAATTGTATTTTTATTCTTTGGAAAAGTGGACTTAGTAATGTGTTAGACCAGCAGAACAGGTTCCTTGTCCAGTCTGCGGTTCTTACGTTACCCTTAAGCATTCTTTACAGTCTAAAGTGGTATCCTTTTACACTATAGGGGTAAAAATGGGACTACAGGGGTAAAAATGGGGACATATCTAAGTGAAATTTATGTTTGTTTACGTGGTTACAGATGTTAAAAGCTTGGTTCTCTATATAACACATTCCTTACTTAATGTTTAAATATTCTCCGGTACCCAGATGAAAGGGAAATTAATAGTCTGGCCATTAGAGAGGACTTTGCCCTATTCTCGTGGAACTTTATACTTTCTCAGTGACCTACCTTTTCTCTTTTTTTTTCTTTCTATATTTAAAAAAATTCTTATGATGACTGTCATCATGTGATAAATTTTCCCCACCATTAGAAGAAACCACTTAGAAACACAATTATTTCACCCTTGACTTCTCAGTATGTGAAAGCCCTTGTTAGATTTAGATGTAGATCTTCAAAGGGTGCTGTTGTGAAGAAAAGGGCCTAATGTTAATATACACTTCCCTCTAGGCTGGCTTTAATATAGATAACAACTGCATCCTTTCTACAGTTGACTCTCCTTAAGCTCATAGTGCATTTCACAGTTAGTTTGCTATTTTAGTATTTACAGTTCTCTGAATTTTTTCACCCTTTGTACATCCTTCTGTGGTTGTGACATTAGTATGATTCTCCTTTCCCCCATGCCTCCCACGTTTCTTCCTGTAGAGAAACTTCCCACCCGAAGTTTCTTGTCATATGTCTTCTACTCACATTACATCACACAAACAGGAGGTGACACATGAAGTTTTTTTTGTTTTTTTTTTTTTTGAGATGGAGTTTCACACTTGTTGCCCAGGCTGGGGTACAAGGGCGCAATCTCCACTCACTGCAATCTCTGTCTCCCGGGTTCCAGTGATTCTTTTGCCTCAGCCTCCCAAGTAGCTGAGATTACAGGCATGCACCACCACACCTGGCTAATTTTTTGTATTTAGTAGAGATGGGGTTTCATCATGTTAGTCAACCTGGTCTCAAACTCCTGACCTCAGGAGATACACCCACCTTGGCCTCCCAAAGTGCTGGGATTACAGGCGTGAGCCACAGCGCCCAGCCCTACATGAAGTTTTAAATACTTATTTCAGTATATTTTAATTTTTTCTGCTGTTGGCTTTCTGAGTAGTTTTCTTTCTGCTATCAAAGTAATTTTTCTTTCATTTTGGCAAGGCTCCATTTGAATTTATAGGACTGTCCAGTTGGTAAAATCAAGAATCTTAGCAGTGTATTAGCTTATGTATGAAGAACGCCTTAAAGATACAAAAGAAACTGTTGAGAGTGGATGCCTCTGGAAAGTGAGTTACAAAAATAGAGTGGAGCCAGGCACGGTGGCTCACGCCTGTAATCCTAGCACTTTGGGAGGCCGAGGCGGGTGGATTCCCTGAGCTCAGGAGTCCGAGACCAGCCTGGGGAACACGGTGAAACCCTGTCTCTACTAAAAATACAAAAAATTAGCCAGGCGTGACGGCGTGCGCCTGTAATCCCAGCTGCTCGGGAGGCCTTGACAGGAGAATTGCTTGAATCCAGGAGGCGGAGGTTGCAGTGAGCTGAGATCACGCCGCTGCACTCCAGCCTGGGTGACAGAGCGAGACTCTGTCTCAAAAAAAAAAAAAAAGAAAAAGAAAAAAAAATAGAGTGGAATTTTCTTTTACCAAAACAATTAAGGGCATATACAACTTTTAAGTATTTATAGTGTATCACTTTTATAGTAATTTTTTTGAAAAGCACCACATGTTAGAGCTAATGATCTAGAATCTTATTCTGATCAAACCACATTTTAATAAGTGAGGAGACTTAAAACCCCAATAGATTAGACTAAAAAAATAACAAAATAAATGAGGAAACTAAGGCTTATAGAGATGGTTATTTGTAGATCACAAAGTGGCAAAGCCAAGACTGAAGTTCAGGCCTCCTGACTTTTATCTAGTGCTCTTTCTTGCATCATTTTGCCTCTGCTATGATGAACATTTTTTACATGTGCTTTATAACCATGTGGCTATAAAACATATTTTTATATGTCATTTGCAGGACCTAATACTTTTTTTCTTTTTCTTTTTTTTTTTTTGAGGCAAAGTCTCGCGCTGTCGCCCAGGCTGGAGTGCAGTGGCGCTATCTCGGCTCACTGCAACCTCCACCTCCCTGGTCCAAGTGATTCTCCAGCCTCAGCCTCCCAAGTAGCTGGGATTACAGGCATCTGCAACCACACCCGGCTAAATTTTGTGTTTTAGGAGAGATGGGGTTTCACCATGTTGGCCAGGCTGGTCTCAAACTCCTGACCTCAAATGATCCTCCTGCCTCGGCCTCCTAAAGCTCAGGGATTACAGGTGTGAACCATACACCCTGCCTGCAGTCCCTAATACATTTCAACCTTTTATAAGTCAACAGATACTCCCTGAGACGCTGGTATGTATGAGGCAGTCTGGTATTAATTGTAGGAAATATACAGGTAACATATAGTTTCTACCTTTGCAGATCTCATGGTATAATGGTGAAAATGACTAGAGCACTTTACTTATTCCTTCACCAAATATTTGTTACTCTGAGCAATGAGTTAAGGATAAGGCACTGGCTGGCTGTTAAAGATGTTGGGTGTTAAAGACAGAGAAAAAGCATCCGTTAATCTGTTCTAAGGAAAGTTATGATCTAATAGACAAAGCAAACACATTTGTATATAAATTATAATGCTGTATAAGTCCAACAATAGAAATATGCAAAAATACGGCAAAGGAAAATGATCAACTAAGATAAAATAGAGACACTTAAGAGACTGGAGGACTTGATAAGGTAAAGTGTGGTGAAAAGTGTAGAAAGATTAAAGACTGTGGTCAGACGGTTGAATGTTGTTGGAGTGAGCAATTTCAGAGGTAGAGCATTTCTCATGTAATGTGATCTAGTGTGTAGCCTTGGAGTGGGTTTCTGAAGTGGAGAGTTGAGGTCTAAGTGTAACAACTTTGAGACTGGCTGTTAACCAAGTTTTTGTGAGAGATGTTAGAGACATAAAAGTAATTTAGATAAGTCCTTTCTTTAAGGAGTCATGTCCTCTCTGAAACCTTTTCTGATTGAACCCCATATCCAGATATAATAAACCAGGCTCTTTTTGTCCCTATATTGCTATAATACCTATATCACTATATTTTGTTTTTATTTACATATTATCTTTCTCAACTATGCTGTAGGGTTCTTGAGGACAAGGATACAAAATCATTTACACCTAGTGTAATATGTGATATCACATATAACTTGTACACCATAAATATACATTGAGTTGAAGATCTTGTAGACTTAAAAACAAGAGACAAATTAAAAACGTACTCTGATAAAGGCATATTAATGTATGTACGAGAGTAGTGCTACTTCATCTGGCTGCATAATGAATGATCTAGAGAGCTTTTCAAAAAATGCCTCTAGGCTGGGCGCGGTGGCTCACGCCTGTAATCTCAGCACTTTGGGAGGCCAAGGCGGGCGGATCACTTGAGGCCAGGCGTTCGAGACCAGCCTGGCCAACATGGTGAAACCCCGTCTCTACTAAAAATATGAAAACTTAGCCAGGTGTTGCGGTGCATGCTTATAATCTCAGCTACTCAGGTGGCTGAGGCATGAGAACCTGGGAGGCGGAAGTTGCACTGCAGCCTGGATGACAGAGCGAGACTCTGTCTCAAATAAATAAATACCTCTACCCTGACAAACAAAACCTAACAAAAAACAAAATTATCATTTTTAGTCACACACCAAAATAAGTGAATTATATTGTTTTGCTAATCATAGGTGACTATTACTTATTATTATTATTGTTATTATTATTTTTTGAGACAGAGTCTCACTCTGTCGCCCAGGCTGGAGTGCAATGGTGCGGTCTCCACTCATTGCAACCTCCGCCTCCTGGGTTCAAGTGATTCTTCTGCCTCAGCCTCCCCAGTAGCTGGGACTACAGGCACGTGCCACTACACCCAGCTAATTTTTGTATTTTTAGTGGAGATAGGGTTTCACTATGTTGGCCAGGATGGACTATTACCTTTCTCTTAAATAAGTCTTCTATATTATATAATTATTGAATACTATCCATGTTTTACCTCAGCATTCTAATAGCTAAAATATGTTGATTTGGTACCTTCTTAGCTTGTCTGAAAGAAGCATCCTCTTGATAGTTTTGTTTTTTTTGTTTTTGTTTTTGTTTTTTTTTTGAGACAGGGTCTCATTCTGTCAACCAGGCTGGATACAGTGGTGTGATCACGGCTCACTGCAGCCTCAACTTTCTGAGCTCAAGCAGTCCTCCACCTCAGCCTCTTGAGTAGATGGGAACACAGGTGCACACCACTATGACCAGCTAATTTTTTTTTTGTAGAGACAAGGTTTTACCATGTTGCCCAGGCTGGTCTCGAACTCCTGCATTCAAGCAGTTAGCCCACCTCAGCCTCCCAAAGTGCTAGGATTACAGGCGTGAGCCACCGCGCCCAGCTGGTTATATACCTTAACTGTTTTTCCTCTCTTCTCTATACTCTGTAGCCAGATTAAACTTTATAATATACTGCTTTATACCACAAGAAGCAATCAGCCAAATCCAGAATATGGGAAGTTTTATTGGATAACTAGATTCTTCAACAAATAATTGGGATGGGGTGGAGGAGGAGTGATGGGAAGAGAGGGAAAGCTGTTACAGATAAAAAGAGCCGTATCAGCCAAATGCAGTGTGTGAACTTGGTTTGGATTCTGATGTGCATAAAACAATTGAAAAAAGATACTTTTGAGACGAGTGGGGGAAATTTGAACATGTACATGATATTAATATTAAGGAATTGTTAATTTTCTTATAGATGTTTATGACATTGTGATAATGTAAAGCTGTTATCTATAAAGATATATATTGAAGTATTTACAGGTTAAATGAAATGTACTCCAGCTCCTTCCTCCCCACTCCTCCCCAAAAAAGTTGGGGAGAGATAGACAAAACAAGATTAGCAAATGTTTATAATTTGTTGAAGTAGAGTAAAAGGTACATTTTACTATTTCTTAGCTTTTATCTTTGAAGATGTCTGGGAACTCCTGAGCTCAAGTGATCCTCTCACTTGGGTCTCTCAAAGTGCTAGGATTGCAGGCATGAGCCACCATGCCTGGCCAATTTTTAAAAAGGTTAAATTACAATTAAAGGATTTTCTTTTGAGTGTGTCCTAGAATGCTGTAGATATTTGATTAAATATCAGTGATCAATACAGTGATTACCTCAACTTCTTGTCTTTGATCTTCGGTGGTCTCTTCTGTGTCCTCACTAAGTCTTTCCATCATGAGCCCAAATTCTTTTGTTCTCAGTGGCATGTTTCTAGATTCCAGATTCTCATAAATTTTGATATTACCTTTACTGGAATGGAAGGAAATGAAAGAAGGTACTCCTGCAAACCTGGGAACCTTATGAAAGTTATGCTTTCCCATTTTAAAGCTGTTAGAAGAAGGGGAATGTTTCTAATGCTGATGTTTAAGGCAACTTATAATGCTGTAAGCTTTTGAATTATGGCTGCTGCTTCTTTTGCCCTTCGTGTCTAACATATACTTCTGGACTACTAAGAACTTTGTGCAAATTCTAAAAAGGCACTCCTTTGTGCCCTGAGCCATCATGACTTCACTGGAGAAGGGCAAGCTGGATTTCAACCCTCTTCCCCTTGCCCTTCTGGCTTAATGCCCTCGTGCACTGTCTACACAGCTGTAGCTGGTGAGCTTGTTGTTTCAGAATAATGAAGTTACATGAGTTTAAGTTTTTGGTGATGTGTGTTTCTGAGGAGTAGGTATGAAAGTTTGGAGAGCTATAGTGTAGGAATTATGTGAGCATTTGAATGTTAAAACAATGTATTCTTTTAATGAAGTTTTATAAGTTTTACAAGTATGTGGAAAAACAAGAAGCTATTCTCTGTTAAAACCCTGTAATTAGTGCTTCAGTGTATATATGTTTTTATTTTTTGAGACAGGGTCTAGCTCTGTTACCCAGGCTGGACTTGGGTAGGCAGTGGCTATTCAGAGGCACAACTGTAGTACACTGCAGTCTTGAACTCCTGGGCTCAAGCCATCTTCCCACCTCAGCCTCCTGAGTAGCTGGGACTACAGGCATGCACCACCATGCCCAGCTAACTTTTGTATTGGCTTTTGGTAGAGATGGGGTTTTGCCATGTTGCTCAGGTTGGTCTCGAACTCCTGAGCTCAAGCGATCTGCCCATCTCGGCCTCCCAAAGTGCTAGGATTACAGGTGTGACCCACCGCACCTGGCCCTGGTATACTTTTAAGAATCTCAACAATTACATTTGAAGGTACAAGCACAAAACTGCAGAACATACAACATATACACATGCATACAGCACCTTGCCTTAATGGTAGTTCAGTACCTGATGAGTAGGAAACACTATCACCATATTTGCTCAGCTCTAAGGTGTGTACATTACCATATTTTAACATTTCTGATATTCAGGTGCGTCTTACTTTTGAAGAATTTTTAAGCTACTGTTAAAGTGGAATTTATACTTAACAAGATTTCAGAATCAAGTCAGTATTGTAAATAAGTCAGTCTGAGGGGCTTTGCGAAACCTGAAGTTTTGAAGTTACCTTTGGATGTCTTAACTGAAAAAAATGTAACGGCTGAAGTTTTTTTCTTCTTAAAATTTCAGTTTTTGTAGTTGAAAACTGTAGAAATAGAAAACAAAAGCCACATTGTTAGGAAATGACAGGTCTTCTAATTTTAGTCTTTTTTTTTTTCTTTTTAAAATTTCCTGTTATCTTAGCTCAGAGCTGGGTTTCAGTCTCCAGTTTTCTAGCTAATTTAACCAATGGCAGCTTTTTGTTTGTAGTTTTATTACGGCATTGCTAATCCTCATTATATTTGTCGTGGCCTTGAGCAAAAAACTCAATTGATGACATTCACCTGTTTATAGTCATAACCATTTGGTAAATAACTTTAATTTTTGGCAAAGTAGCACCTGAATTTCTCTCATTTTACCAGACAGGTCTACATTTACTTTGGGGTAAAGCTATTTATTTTTCATATTGCTAGTTTAAAAAAAGAGAGAAGAGAGAACACTAATAAGTTAAAAACTCTTATGTACACATCCACGTTTTCACTTTGAGGAGCTATGAGAAATTGAATCTAACCAAAATTTACTTTTATTCTATTTTGAGAGCATTTGCATTTACCATATCTAATTTTTTTTTTTTTTGAGACAGAGTCTTGCTCTATTGCCCAGGCTGTAGTGCAGTGATGCGGTCTCGGCTCACTGCAGCCTCCGCCTCACAGGTTCAAGCAGTTCTCCTCCCTCAGCCTCCTGAGTAGCTGGGATTACAGGCGCATGCCACCATGCCCGGTTGATTTTTGTATTTTTAGTAGAGACGGGGTTTTACCATGTTTAGGTCTCGAACTCTTGACCTCATGATCTGTCTGCCTCGGCCTCCCAAAGTGCTGGGATTACAGGCGTGAGCCACTGTGCCTGGCTAAAGTTGTTTGTTTGTTTTTTTAACAGCCTTTTTTACAGCTGGCTAATTTACATCCTAAGATGCAAACAAAAGATTATGTTTGGTTTATTTATTTTTTTCTGGTTCAGCAGCATGCTACATTTCAAATGAAATTTTAAGAATTGATAGGAATAGAAAAATATTCTTCCCTATTAGATGAGGTCAGTTCTTTCCCCTTTTGAAAAATGATCAGTTTTGGTATTTTTTCATTTTTTAAAAAGTCATTTTATTCTGTACTAAGATGAAATTTTTCTTATCCAGGAGAAACCTGAGGTTGATAAGGTTAAGTAACTTGCCCAAGGTCATACAAATAATAAGTTGAAGAATAATGATTGAACCTAGGCACATGTAATTCCAAGACCAGAATTTTTGTCATTACACTGCATTTTCTCTGGTATGCTAATAATAGTTGGCCCTATTGAAACATTTATTAAGACATAATTGCTAGCCTGGGCAACATAGTGAAACCTCATCTCTACAAAAAAAAAAAAAAAAAAAAAAAAAAAAAGCAGCCAGTTGTGGTGGTGTGCACCTGTAGTCCCAGCTACTTGGGAGGCTGAGATGGAAGGATTGCTTGAGTCCGAGAGGTCAAGGCTATAGTGAGCCATGATCATGCCACTGCACTCCAGCCTGGGTGACAGAGCAAGACCCTGTATCAAAAAAAAAAAAAAAAGTAATAAAATGACATATTCTCTGAATAACTTAGATTCTATGTTCGTAAAAAGAAATCTGGCATAAGAATAGGTATTTCATTGTCTTTTACACAAATTATGTGCCTAGAGCAGTGTAGTAGTGCTGAGTTACATCAACAGTTATTGATTTAGTTACATTAATCATTCTGTCCTAAAGCTAATGAAGATTTTGACCCAAGTCTCAATAGATCTAAAAAATTTTGTTTTGGATTGTGTTTTCATTTTCCTTTCCTCACATTTTTAGAAATATGTCCTTAGTTTTAACAATATGTTGCTTAATGTCAGGTTTATTTTCTATACACTTTTTTTGTGTTGACTAGGAGCCCGTTTTTAATCTAGCAAGCATTTCATAATGGATGAATGAAATATCTTAGATCAGAAATGAAACCCTGAGTAACTGAATGTCTGTCTTCATAGCTGCCAGTGCTACCCTCTTTGGTTGGGATTCTCAGGTCCTATCTGTCATACCTGGGCTATATTGACATTAGACTAAGGAAAAAGGTGGCAACCTTTTATAAAGAGTTGTGATATGCTGAAAGAGGCAACAGTGGCAACTGAGGACTCAGAGGCATTTGATAATGCCTGCTTTGGTATTTGGATCAGCGGCCAAAATGGCTGAAGTAGCTATCAAATTAGCTAGCCATCAACTATCCTACTCTATTCTTTCCTCTAGTGAAGACACAACTTTTAGGAAGTTGAAAAAGTAGCTGGGCAGGTGGTGGTGTGTTGTGTTCTCAAGGTTCATTCTCTAATTATAGTGCATTGGACGTATAATCCTAGTTTTGTATTGCCTTTGAGTCTATAGTTAATTTGGATAATAAGACTGTGAGCTCCTTGGGCAGGAACAGTGTCTTGCTCTCCATTTCATTCCTATTTCTTGGCACTTAGTGGGCACTCAAATATTATTGAGTGAATGCATGATCCTTTCAGCCTCAGTTAAAGCATGAGATTTTCCTGAGGCTTTAACTTGGAGAACTCTTTGCCTTTCTTACTCTACAATATGATGAATCCACCAGAAAATAATGTCTTTTATATATTTATAAATATATAAATCACCAACCAAAGAGGTAGCACTGGCAGCTATGAACACAGACATTCAGTTACTCAGGGTTTCATTTCTGATGTATGACATTTAATTCTTCTATTTTTAGTTTTAGCCTCCAAATTCATTATATATTCACCACTGATAACATTTCATAAAAATGCATTTTCATAGACAGTTTCAAGTCAAGATTTAAAAGACTTAAGCTGTAAGTCCTTACCATCCCATGATAGTTGGTCTTTACCAAAGTAATTGATGCATTCAATTCTTTTAATAATTTTATACATAGTAAGGCAAAATTTAGAATTTGTGATCTTTTTTATATTTTTCACTAATATTTCCTGTCTCAGTTGCAGAGGGATAAGAGGGTTTGCTGAATATGATAAATAAGGAAAATGTGTATACATCTTCTACTTAAGAATGAGACTATACCTTTCAGGCTCTGCTATAGTAGTAGCCCTAAATGTAAGTGGTGAACAGCTCATTCTCCTGTAAGATGTTTATAGCATTTTCTAACACAGAACTATTCAGAGTGTAGTACGAGACAGTGCTGGCCCATGAGCTGTTTATTATTTGTGAGGAGATAAGTTCAGAAATTGAGTTTTTAGAAACTTGCATAGCAGTTTGATAGAACAAATTTATGTCTGTCAAATCTAATAATAACAAATTGGGGCTTATATTTGATATATATTTATTTTATTTTTCTAGTAATTCATTTTTACTATTTTTTAACAAAATTATTGGCCCATAATGAATTGGAAATTCAAAGAAAAAAAAAGTTCTTTACCAGAGATAATTTGCAAAGCAGTGTTCTAAAACAGTGGTTCACATCCTTTCATGTTCGCCTAACCTTCTAAATGATACCACACTCGAGAGGGTACGGAGTATGGGATATAGAGTGCTCTTTCCCTACCGGTAGCCCTCTGATAGAGAATCCTTATATTGAAAATAATTTCCCACTGACTTTCCCTTAATTGTTTCAATCTTTTCACTAAATCTAACTTAAAATTTTTTTTTAATAAATGGGTTTAATAAAACAGAACAGTGGTTATTATGAGTTCTGAGCTATGCTAGTGTAACATATTAAGTTGCAGTATCAAAATACTACCCCAAAATAGACCCATTCCTCTGAAGAATGGGCATGCTAACTATTTTTAGCAGGTATAATATAGTCACAAATAATGTGTTTTACTGAAACTAATTAATAACATAAATACAATATGTGTAAGATTTGGCCTAATATATAAAGCACTATGGGAGTAATGCCATTATAAATGCCCCTTTTGCCCTGGCCTGACCTTTATATCTTATTACTTAAAAATACCATAATTTTTTTAAAGTATACAAATGTAAATATTTCATACCTGTATGATTCCTGTTTATCGTTGAATAATAATTCATCGTATGCCATGTACTGCAGGTTGATTATTTTATTGATGGATATCTGGGCTGTTTCCTGCTTGGGTTTTTATGAATAAAGCTGTTATATACATATTTGTTTGAATTTTTGTGGACTTACGCTTTTATTTCTCTTGGGTAAAAATACAGAGAACAAGAATTGCTGGGTCTTAGGGTAGGCATATGTTTTTGATTTATAAAAAAACTACTGGAACTTTTTCCAAAATGATTGTGCCATTTTACACTCCCCACCAATGTTTGTGCTACATCTTTACCAAAAGTCTTTTTTTTTTGAGACAAGATCTCACTCTGTCACCTAGGCTGGCGTGCAGTGGCACAATTAGGGCTCATTGCAGCCTCAGCCTCCCAGGCTCAAGCAATCCTCCTGCCTCAGCTGGGACTACAGGTATTCAGTAGCAAACCTGGCTAAATTTTTCTGAATTTTGGTAGAGAAAGGGTTTCGCCATGTTGCCCAGGCTAGTCTCAAACTCCTGAGCTCAAGCAGTCCTTCCACTTTGGCCCCCAAAAGTGCTGGGATTACAGGCCTGAGCCACCATGCCTGGATGCCAACAGTCTTTTAAATCAGCAGTCCCCAACCTTTTTGGCACCAGAGGCTGGTTTCATGGAAGACAGTTTTTCCACAGACTAAGGTCGGGGACAGGCATGGTTTTGGCATGAAACTGTTCCACCTCAGATCATCAGGCATTAGATTCTCATAAGGAGCACATAATTTAGATCCCTCGGAATTGCTGTTCACAATAGGGTTGGCGCTCCTATGAGAATCTAATGCTGCCGCTGATCCGACAGGAGGCGGCTCTCAGGCGGTAATGCTTGCCTGCCTCTCACCTCCTGCTGTGCGGGCCCCGTTCCTAACAGGCCAGGGACCAGTACCAGTCCATGGCCCAGGGGTTGGGGACCATTGTTTTAAATTGTGATTTTAATTTGCATTTCCCTGATGGCCAGGGATGAGCACTGTTTCAGCGGTTTTTAGTGGTTTGCATATCTTCCTTTGTCAGTTGTTTAAATCTTTTGCCCATTTTATTTGTCTTCATATTATTGAGGCGTAGGGAATTTTTATGTCTTCTAGATACAGATCTCCTTTGTCAAGTATATGTTTTATGAATATTTTCTCCCAGTCTGTGACTTGCCTATTCATTTTCATAATGGTGTCCATTGTATTTTTTCAACATTTTATTATGAAAATTTTCTTTTATTTTTTTCTTTCTTTCCTTTTTTTTTTTTTTTTTTTTTTTTTTGAGACAGAGTTTCACTCTGTCGCCCAGGCTGGAGTGCAGTGGTGCAATCTCAGCTCACTGCAACTTCCACCTGCCTGGGTTCAAGCGATTCTCCTGCCTCAGCCTCCCGAGTAGCTGGGGTTACAGGCGCTCACCATCACGACTGGCTAATTTTTGTGTTTTTAGTGGAGACGGGGTTTCACAATGTTGGCTGGGCTGGTCTCAAACTCCTGACCTCAAGTGATCTGCCCACCTTGGCCTCCCAAAGTGCTGGGATTACAGGTGTAAGCCACCACGCCCAGCCTATTATGAAAATTTTCAAGCATACAGGAGCTTGAAAAACTTTCATCGTGAACACCCATACACCCACCACCTAGATACTATCATTAACATTTTATTATACTTGTCTTTTTACATATGTGTCCATCTATCCTATTGTATGCATTTTAAGGTAAATTGCAGAATCAGTTCACCTCCCACAAATACTTCACAATGCATTATTATGAATTATAAATTAGAATTCATATAATTATGAATTAGAATTCAGTAACTGCAGCTTTTTTTCTTTTGAGGTAAACTTTTCGTACAGTGAAGGCACGAGTTTTTGTTTTTGTTTTTTTTTCGAGATAGAGTTTCACTCTTGTTGCCCAGGCTGGAGTGGAATGATCCCGGCTCACCGCAACCTCTGCCTCCCGGGTTCAAGTGATTCTCCTGCCTTAGCCTCCCCAGTGGCTGGTATTACAGGCATGTGTCACCACGCCCAGCTAATTTATATTTTTAGTAGAGACAATGTTTCTCCCTGTTGGTCAGGCTGGTCTCGAACTGACCTCGGGTGATCCGTCCACCTCAGCTTCCCAAAGTGCTGGGATTATAGGTGTGAGCCACCACGCCCGGCAAAGGCACGAGTTTTAAGTGAACATTGGCAGAGTTTTGATAAATGCATGCACCTGTGGAATCCTAAACCCCATCAAGATGTAGAATATTACCATCACTCTAGGAAGTTCTTTCAGGCCCAGTCCCAGTTAATCTGTATTTCCATTCTTCCAGATCCAGCCATTGTCCTGCTTTTTCTGCATCATAGGTTAGTTTTGTCTGTTCTAAAACCTTATAAAAGTGGATTCACATATTATGTACTCTTCTGTTTAAAGCATCTTTCACCTAGCCGTAATGTTTTTGAGATTCATGCATGTTGTTGAACATATCTAGTTTATTCCTTTTTATTGCTGAATAGTAATCCTTTGTATGACTATATCACACTTTATCCATTCTCTTGTGAATGTATACCTAAGATGTTTCCAGTTTTTGGATATTATGAATAAACTGTTGTGAACATTTTTGTGCAAGTCCTTTTGTGGGAATATATTTTCATTTTTAAGGGTAAATACCTATGAGTGGAATTGCCAGATTATAGGGGAAAGTGTGAGACCCTTTTCCATAGTGGTTGTACTAATTTATACCCCCAACAACAGTGTATGAAAGTTCTTTTTGTTCCACAGTCTTGCCAAATTTGGTGTTTTTGGTCTTAGGAATTTTAGCCATCTTGGTGAGTGTAGTGATAACCTCATTGTGATAGTGTATTGTACTTTAAATAGCTATTTCTCACATCCCACCTTCTTTAATCACTCTCCATGCACATCACACACCTCAGCTTTACTAGTTTTCTCTCAGCTTTTTCTGTACTACTTTAACTTTGCCTTCAATTTTCTATGCCCCTGCACTTTTATATATAGTTCACCGTAGGAGAGAACCTGTGCAGCCAAACCAGTGCTATTAAGAACCAATGAAATAAAATTTAGGTGAGTGTATATGAGTTTTCTTTCTTTGAAACATACTCTATGTTGCCTACCTCAGGGCATTAGAGGTTTTAAAGTTGAGTTTCACCACTTACAATGGTGACTTTGGGCAAGTTTCTTAGTCTAATGTTTCTGTTTTCGTGTTGATTAAATGAGATCGTGATGTAAAGTTTCTAGTGCAATGCAGAGTACAAACTAGGTCTTTATTGCTTTCCTTCTCTTTTAGAAGTGGTATATATTTGTAGGGTTTTCTTTTCCTTTATTTTATTTTATTTTATTTTATTGTATTTATTTTTTTTGAGACGAGTCTTGCTCTGTCGCCCAGGCTGGAGTACAGTGACGTGATCTTGGCTCACTGCAAGCTCCACCTTCCAGGTTCATGCCATTCTCCTGTCTCAGCCTTCTGGAACTACAGGCGCCCGCCACCACGCCTGGCTAAGATTTTTGTATTTTTAGTAGAGACAGGGTTTCACTGTGTTAGCCAGGTTGGTCTTGATCTCCTGACCTCTTGATCCACCCGCCTCGGCCTCCCAAAGTGCTGGGATTACAGGCATGAGCCACCTCACCCAGCCTAGCTTTTTCTTTAAAAAAAAAAAAAAAAAAATTGTTTATTCCAAAACAAGGCCAGTATTCTTGCTAGCATAAATCAGTTATCAACGTGATTGTGCTTTTATATTTACCTTCTTTTTTTCCTCTTTAATCCTCCTTCCCCCCTACCCTTCCTAGCCTCTGGTAACAACCATTCTACTTTCTATATTCATGAGATCCACATTTTTAGCTCCTACGTATGAATGAAAATGTGATATTTGTCTCTCTATGCTTGGCTTATTTCACTTAACATAATGACCTCCAGTTCCATCCGTGTTGCCGCAAATGACATGATTTCATTTTTATGGCTGAATCGTATTCTGTTGTATATATATTCCACATTTTCTTCATATACTCATGTGTTAATGGGCACTTAAGTTGATTCCATATTTTGGCTGTTGTGAATAGTGCTGCAAGAAGTGGTATATAACTGAATGACTAAGAATTCAAAGCATCATTGCTTCAGTTAAATTTAGCACAACCTTACTTGTCAGATGGAAGGCATTCCCAATAACAGAGGCCTTATACTACATCATCAATATGGACATTACACAGGGCTCAATTTACTGAACTCCCCTGCTAAGTACAGAGGTAGAACCTCATACTCTAAAGTCGTCAGCTGAGAACTTGATACAGTTGTCTGATAAATTATATCAAGAATTAAGTATGTTATTTTAAGGGTATGCTAAAGGAACTGTACGCCACTTAAAGGGATTTTCTGGGACTTTTTTTTTTTTCTTTGAAACAACCACTCTGTACAATACAAAAGTTCTGAACTCTTTAAACATATATATTTTTTTCTTTTTCTTTCTTTTTTTTTTTAGACAGAGTCTCGCTCTGTCGCTCAGGCTGGAGTGCAGTGGCGCAATCTCTGCTCACTGCAATCTCCGCCTCCTGGATTCAAGGGATTCTCCTGTGTCAGCTTCCTGAGCAGCTGGGACTACAGGCATGAACCACCACGCCTGGCTAATTTTTGTATTTTTAGTAGAGATAGGGTTTCCCCATGTTGGCCAGGCTGGTCTTGAACTCCTGACCTCAGGTGACCCGCCCACCTTGGCCTCCCAAAGTGTTAGGATTACAGGTGTGAGCAACGGCGCACAGCCGTATCTTTCATATTTTAAGTTGATATAGTGCCAGTCAGTCTTTAAAGAGGACAGTATAAAAATGAACCATTCCCGGCTGGGCACGGTGGCTCACGCCTGTTAATCCCAGCACTGTGGGAGGCCGAGGTGGGCAAATCATCTGAGGTCAGGAGTTTGAGACCAGCCTGACCAACGTGGTGAGACCCCCGTCTCTACTAAAAATACAAAAAAAAAATTAGCTGGGCATGGTGGCACATGTCTGTAGTCCCAGCTACTCGTGAGGCTGAGGCAGGAGAATCGCTTGAACCTGGGAGGCGGAGGTTGCAGTGAGCTGAGATCGCACTACTGCACTCCAGGCTGGACAACAGGGCGAGCGAGACCCTGTCTCAAAAAAAAAAAAAAAAAAAGTTAACTGTTCTCTAATCTTTCTTGTGTGAAATATGAGGGCAGAGGTTGAGATCATGACATGCAGATAAGAATGACAACTTCAGTGAAGGAAATAGAGGAGCAAGCGGTAGACAGTAGTTCACTGTGAATTCTGTCCAGTCTCCAGGTTTCAGCAGCTTTGGGAAGCAGGCTAAACTGTTCTTGGGGTTCTTCAGGTTAATAACAATAAGCAAGGGTGGAGTGCTTAATCCTTTTAAGTGAATGATAAACACTGTGGAAGGCGTGTCTTCAAGCGCCCCACTCCCTCAGGGCTGTAGGTCACGTGAGCTTAAAGTACTTCCCGAATCCCAGCCACTGTCTCTTGTAGGCAGGGATCACAGTCTGAAACGACAGCAAGGAAGAGGTAGGCAGGGAAAACTAACTGGAAGGAAGTTTAAATACAGAAAGAGCAAAGTATTATCTAACTATAACAATGCCACATTTTACTGTGACTAAGGTAGAGGACCCAGAGGAGGGGGCAGCGGCTTCGATCTCTCAAGAGCCTAGTTTAGCAGACATAAAAGCCCGGATTCAGGATTCAGATGAACCAGGTGAGTACGCAACTTGGGAGCTTTTGGAACCTATAAAATGTTTCATGAAAGAAGTAACTAGGATATCAAAATTCAAAATGCCTTCTTTAGGACAGAGAAAAGTGTTGTGGTTGAGGTGTTTTTCAGTTACTTATTTCACTCCCCTGTGTATCTGATAGCTTCTCTTACTTTTCTCACACACTGGATTGTTTTTCCCCACAATGAGTTCTGTGTTCATTACCAACAGGTGAAACTGAATCAGTGGCAATGTTTGAAGAGTTTTCAAGCAAAAAGAAAGACACAGAAGTCAATTTATGTGGAATTTAGAATTCACTTTTTCCTCACAGTTTAGATTATATCTGGAAAAGACTTTAAACCCACCGAGTGGATGACATTTAAACTTAGCAGTTTACATAATATTATATAAAGAGGGAGCATGGTTCAGTAGTTTTGTACCGTGGACTTTGACTGTACTTGTGATTTCTCAGGTTATTCAGTATTTTACCTCAGTTTACCAGCTTAAACTATAATTCAATAATGAATGGTCTAAGAATTTTTTAATGGCAGAACAAAAGTACAAGAGATGGTCATTGTGGTGACTAGCATAGCATCAGGTTAAAAAAAGTATTTGATGAATGTGATTATCCCTATTATTTTCTTTAAATGGTAACAGTTCACACTTGCTAGAGGAATTGTGGTTTTGAATTTTTAAACAAGCAATTAAATCTTTGTTAATATTATAGTATTAAATATAGTTGTAATTTGAAGCCCCTTATTTTTCAAGTCTGTAAATCGTGAGCAGCGTCTTTAGTTATATGAATTAAGAATAAGGGAATAAGCTCTCAAAATTACTTTTATTTTATTTTATTTATGTTTTTGGAGATGGAGTCTTTCTCTGTCACCCAGGCTGGAATGCAGTGGGGTGATCTCGGCTTACTGCAACCTCCGCCTCTCGAGTTCAAGCGATTCTTTTGCCTCAGCCTCCCGAGTAGCTGGGATTACAGATGCCTGCCACCACGCCCGGCTAATTTTTGTATTTTTAGTAGAGACAAGGTTTCACCTTTTTGGCCAGGCTGATCTCAAACTCCTGACCTCAAGCGATCCCCCGCTTCTGCCTCCCAAAGTGCTGGGATTACAGGTGTGAGCCACTGCGTCCGGCCTCAAAGTTACTTTTAATTCCGTGATTCTGTGATTCTCACTTTCCTTTATAGCATGTAACACATTGCAATTCCTTGGTGTCAATAGCGGTTGGTTATCTTTTTCTTAAAACCATTCGAGAATTTTTATGAATCTTGTTTGAAGATGCAAACTTTTAAGGAAAATGTTCCTTTTGTTTTTTCCTTCTAGTGAGATAATTTATTAGGGGAATATCAGAAAAAAGATTTTATGTAAACTCTTTGTCCGCAAGGTTATTTTCATTTTGCTGAATAGGATGATGGAAAGTGGAAAGCAAGTTTAATCTGCTTTGAACTTGAATATGATTCTCTACAACTCAACTTCAGCTCAATTAGGTTCTGTCTCAGGCCTGTGTGTATTTATTTATTTACTTATTTTTTACTTAATCCCAAATGTGATAGTAAGGCTAATGTGTATTTGAAGCTGCACCTTCTTTGCTTATGTTTTCCACCCTTACAGTTTAATCCCTTTAGGCTTTTGTCTTTGCTGTTGTCTTCGTTAATTTCATAAGCTGCAAACGAAGTCCATCTGTACCTCATTTCATTTGTTTTTTAAATTTGCTTTCTCCACCACCTCTACTGTTTTTTATTATTTCATCTTTACTAGTCCCATTATGTTTGCAGAAATTTGCTTTCTTCAGATTATAAGAGAGTGTTAAAATCATTCAATCTGTTAGCAACTACCTGTAAAAGCCATAAAAATTTGATAGTACCCAACTTTGTAATGAGTGGACATTATTAGGTGTAATTTATTTTCTTCCATAGTAATTGCTTTTAACAAGGAAGAAGTGACAGATATAATCTAAATTGAGTTTAATAAGCATTTTTACTTTGGCATTTTCCATAACAGCCCAGAAAATACCTACTTGAATAAACTATTGCTTAGCAAGTGAACAACTGCTGGTAGTATATTATCTAAATTGCACTTGCCTTTATTATAAGGTTAAATTCAAGGGTAGGAAGGAGGGAAATGTATGTCAGAACAATCTAAAAGTTATTTGTTTTTTTAAACCTAGGAGTAAAATATTTTTGAAGATAACATGATTTTTTGGAGCAGTTGCTTTTCATGCAATGAGCTTTATCCCCTTGTTCTCCTAAGTTAAAAAAAAAAAATCTTAAATTGATCATGGTTTTTTCACAAGCACTTCCAACATTGGCCAGTTATATAACCAGTAGCATTTTTCATTGTTTTTTCTTCTGAATTTATATGGAGAGAAAAATATGTAGTGTCATATAAATTGAACATATTTAGAATGTAAATCATCCTTTAAAATGTGTTTTTTAAATATGAGATTTATTTGAACGGGACAGATGAGGAATTTGAGATAAAATAGAAGTGTGAATGTAGATAATCTAATTTTTTGAAAAGGTACAGGTATACTTTGGAAATATTGTGGGCTCAGTTCCAGACCACTGCAATAAAATGAGTCACATGAATTGTTGTTTTTTTTGTTTTGTTTTGTTTTTTTGAGATGGTGTCTCGCTCTGTCACCAGGCTAGAGTGCAGTGGCGTGATCTCTGCTCGCTGCAACCTCCACCTCCTGGGACTACAGGCACATGCCACCACACCTGGCTAATTTTTTGTATTCTTAGTAGAGATGGGGTTTCACCGTGTTAGCCAGGATGGTCTCCTGACTTCGTGATCCGCCCGCCTCAGTCTCCAAAAGTGCTGGGATTACAGGCGTAAGCCACTGCGCCTGGCCGTCACATGAATTTTTGACTTCCCACTGCATATAAAAATGATATTTATTTATACTATACTGTAGTCTGTTAAGTGTGCAATAGCATTATGTCTTTAAAAAACAGTGTACATACCTTAATTTAAAAATTATTTTTATTTTTTTTAAAGACAGGATTTTGCTATGTTACTCAGGCTGGACTCAAACTCTTGGGCTCAAGCGATCCTCCCCTCCTGCCTCAGCTTCCTAAGTAGCTTGGACTACAGGCATGTACTACCATTCCTGGCTCTAAAATATACTTTATTACCAAAAAATGCTAATGATCATCTGAGCCTTCAGTGAGTAATAATCTTTTTGCTGGTGGAGGTGGAGAGTGTTGGCTCAATGTTGATGGCTGCTGCAGGGTGGGCTGCTGAAGGTTGTGGTAACTGTGGCAATTTCTTAAAATAGAACAACAATGAAGTTTACTGCATGAATTGACTCTTTTATGAAAGATTTCTCTGTAGCATGCAACGTTGTTTGATAGCATATTACCCACAGAACTTCTTTCAAAATTGGAGTCAATCATCTCAAACCTTGCTGCTTAGTTTATGGAATATTCTAAAATCCTTTGTTGCCATTTCACCAGTGTTCACAGCATCTTCATCAGCAGATTTCATGTCAAGAAACTACTTTCTTTGCTCAACCATAAGAAGCAACTCCTTATCTATTCAGGTTTTATCATGAAATTGCAGCAATTCAGTCACATTTTCAGGCTCTGCTTCTAATTCTCGTACTCTTGCTATTTCCACCATATCTGCATTATTTCCTCCACTCAAGTCTTGAACCCCTGAAAGTCATCCATGAGGGCTAGGATCTACTTCTTCCCAATGTTAATGTTGATTTTTTTTTTTTTTTTTTTAAGGCTGGTCAAGTGAAGGAGTAGGAGTGAGAGAAGGAACAAAGGAATCTGTAACTGGTTATGATCAGTTAGTTGTAAATACCATTGCACTCACCAGCCTAATGTTGATATTTTTACTTTTTCCCATGAATCACAAATGTTCTTAATGCCGTCTAGAATGGTGAATCATTTTCACTGTACTTTGCTTAGATCCATCAGAGGAATCACTATCTATGGCAGCTACAGCCTTAGAAAATGTAGTTCATAAGTAATAAGACTTGGAAGTTGAAATAATTCCTTGATCCATAAGCTGCAGATGGATCAAAGATGCTGTTGTTGATGTTATGCTGGCAGGCATGAAAACAACATTGATCTCTTTGTACATCTCCATCGGAGCTCTTGAGTGACCAGTGCATTGTTGAAGAGCAGTAATATTTTGAAAGAAATCTTTTTTTCCTGGGCAGTAGGTTTCAGCAGTGGGCTTAAAATACTCGGTAAACTAGCTGGGTGCAGTGGCTCACACCTGTAATCCCAGCACTTTGGGAGGCCGAGGTGGGTGGATCACCTGAGGTCAGGAGTTCGAGACCAGCTTGGCCAACATAACGAAACCCCGTCTCTACTAAATGCAAAAATTAACTGGGCGTGGTGGCATATGCCTGTAAATCCCAGCTACTTGTGAGGCTGAGACAGGAGGATCGCTTGAACCCAGGAGGCGGAGGTTGCAGTGAGCTGAGATCGGGCCACTGCACTCCAGCCTAAGCAACAGAGCAAGACTACGTCTCAAAAAAAAAAAAAAAATCAATAAACCATGCTGTAAACAGATTAGCTGCTATTCAGGCTTTGTTGTTCCGCTGAGCATAGGCAGAGTAGATTTAGCATAAACCTTTTTTTTTTTTTTTCGTTTTTAAGAGACAGGAGTCTCACTATGTTGCCCAGCCAGCCTTGAACTCTTGTGCTCAAGTGATTGTCCTATCTCAGCCTCCTAGTAGCTGAGACTGCAGATGTGCACCATTACACCTGGCTTGTTGTATAGTCCTTAAGGGTCTTAGGATTTTCAGAACAGTAAATGAGCATTGACTTTAACTTAAAGTCACCAGCTGCATTAGCCCCTAACAAGAGAGGCAACCTGTCCTTTGAAGCGAGGCATTGTCTTGTCCTTTCTAGCTATGAAGGTCCTAGATGGCATCTTCTTCCAACATAAGACTGCTTCCTCTCCAGTGAAAGTGTGTTGTTTAATGAAGCCACCTTCATCATTGATCGTAGCTCAATCTTCTGGATAACTTGCTATAGCTTCTGTAAAAGCACTTGCTGCTTTACCTTGCATTTTTATGTTTTGGAGATGTCTTCTTTCCTTAAACCTCATGAACCAACTTCTGTTAGCTTCAAACTTTTATTTTGCACCCCCATCAACTCTCTTGGCCTTCATAGAATTGAAGAGAGTTAGGGTCTTGTTCTGGATTAGGTTTTTGCATATTGGAATGTTGTGGCTGGTTTGATCTTCTATCCAGATCACTAAAACCTTCTTCATATCAGCAATAAGGTTGTTTAGCTTTCTTAACATTTATGTGTTCACTGGAATAGCACTTTTAATTTCCTTCAAGAACTGTTCCTTTGCATTCACAACTTGCTCTTTAGTGCAAGAGACATAGCTTTTGGCCTGGCGGCTTTTAACATGCCTTTCTCACTGAGCTTAATCATTTCAAGCTTTTGATTGAAAGTGAGAGATGTCCAACATCTTTTCACTTGAAAACTTAGAGGCCAATGTGGGTTTATTAACTGGCCTAATTTCAGTATTGTTGTGTCTCAGTGAATAGGGAGGCCAGAGGAGAGGGAGAGGGAAAAGGAAGCAGCTGGTTGATGGAGTGGTCAGAACACACACAACATTTATGGATTAAGTCTTCTGTGGGCACAGTTCATGGTGCCCCAAAACAATTTCAATAGTAACAGCAATTTCAATAGCACAGATCATCATAAACAAGTATAGTTATAATGAAAAAGTTAGAAATATTGTAAGAATTACCAAAATGCGACAGACATGAAGTGAGCACATGCTATTGGAAAAACAGCACTAAAAAGACTTGCTTGACATAGGGTTGCCACAGACTTTAAATTTGTAAACAAACAAAAAACCCCAAAGTATCTGTGAAGCACCATAAAGCACAGCACAATAAAACAAGGTATGCCTGTATATTAGAACCCTGCTTAATTTCAAAACCCTGGGTTTCGAAGGGAAAAGCAGAAACTCGGACTTTCCTTACGTCTTTCTTGACTGTTTTCTTCCTACCCATTCTGTTTTCTCAGCAGCGTGTGCTCAGAAACAGTACTTAACCACACACTGTATTATAATAATCTGTTTACTTGATTCTCTCCCCTGGTACACTGATTATAAACTCCTTGAGGACTTCGTCAGATCATTTTCGTATCTCCAGGTCCTAAGGTAAAAATATGGCACATAATAAGCAACTCAGTGAGTAAGACATGCTCCCTGCCTTTTTTATTCACCAAACACATGTTCAGTATAAATATGTCAGGTATTGTACTTACTTTTTTCCTAAGGCTACAGAAGTATAGGATGTACGGGAGGATCCCCACCAAAGGCAGCAGAATGAGAGTCAGAGACTTCACTTTAAATCCCAGTCCTACTAATTATTAGTAGTGATAATTTGTTATTAATTATTACTTGAGTGACTTTTGCCAAGCTGTTTAACTTCTCAAGGACTACTTTCCTTCACTGATAAAACAGAGAATAACAGCACCTGCTTTACAGGGTGGTTGTGAGGATTACATGGGATTATGTACCATCTATAAAGCACTTAATACATATGTGACAGCACTCAAAAATAAGAACTACTTTTAGTGGTCTAATAAGAAAAAGAAACAGATTTGGATAACAGATGATAGAATAATAATATTAACTGGACGGGACCCTGGACAGGTATCTCAGAGGAAGGGACACAATTCTTGCAGGAAGGTTTAGAGGCAATGATAAAAAGAACAATACAAAGGAATGAGAGCAGGGTATAGCACATGGGAAATAAAAGTTTAGGGCAGTTAGCACATTGGGCATGTGGTAAAGAGATAAGAGATGAGGGAGAGAGGTAGATTGAGGCCATTTATGGAAGTGTTATTAATTTCATCCTTTCTCCACTCTGTGGGATAGTGGGTGGTTATTGCCTTTTTAGTGATAATCTGAGGCTGGTGAATAAGTGACTTGCCTCAGGCCACATGGTGAGTAGCAGAGCCAATGTTCAACTTATAAATTCTTTGTGCTCTCCACTATACCATGATGCCAAATCCTAGCTTTTTACTAATAAGAAGAGATTACTTTATATCTTAATGTGCCTGAGCCACAGATTTTGATGTGAGCATTATCGAAACTGTGATTTTTAAAAATAGGACCAATATAACAAAGTTTTACTGATTATTGCATTTACTTAATCAGATATGAATTTCCATTCATTCATTTATTTAAATATTTATTTCCACTGCTTCACTTGGCTAGCCTAAAAATATATGTATTAAAAAATAAAAATAAATATTATGGTTAGTATTTTTGTGAAATAATTGTTCGAGATTTTCTCCCCTGCTCCTCAAATCTTATATTGCCTATGGATTAGGCAGATTTGAATTGATAAACTTGCCTTCACTGGACACAGATTGCCATTTAGAAGATTTTCTCTCCTTTAAAATAAGGTTCTAAGGAAATTTTTAGAAATGGACCTATAGCACAATAGAGAGAGGAACCTGTACTGGTATTGAAGAGCATCTCCAAACAGTAACTCACAAGTAATACAAATGGTAGGAGAGCAAACTATGAGACAAATTTCTATTAAATGAGGTTTAAATTTTATTGAGAATCCACAGGATGTTAGACTATTAACTAAATAATTGTTACCCATGAAAGCTTATGTTCTAAAAAAGGTGATTTGGCTGGGCTTGGTGGCTCATACCTGTAATGCCAGCACTGTGGGTGGCCAAGGTGGGCAGATCACTTGAGCCCAGGAGTTCAACACCAGCCTGGACACGGGACACACACACACACACACACACACACACACACACACACACACACACACTTGAGCCCAGGAGTTCAACACCAGCCTGGACACGGGGACACACACACACACACACACACACTCTTGAGCCCAGGAGTTCAACACCAGCCTGGACACGGGGACACACACACACACACACACACACACACACACACACACACTTGAGCCCAGGAGTTCAACACCAGCCTGGACACGGGGACACACACACACACACACACATACACACACACACACACACACACAGTTGAGCCCAGGAGTTCAACACTAGCCTGGCCACGGGGACACACACATACATACACACACACACACACACACTTGAGCCCAGGAGTTCAACACCAGCCTGGACACGGGGACACACACACACACACACACACACTTGAGCCCAGGAGTTCAACACCAGCCTGGACACAGGGACACACACACACACTTGAGCCCAGGAGTTCAACACCAGCCTGGACACGGGGACACACACACACACACACACACACACTTGAGCCCAGGAGTTCAACACCAGCCTGGACACGGGGACACACACACACACACACTTGAGCCCAGGAGTTCAACACTAGCCTGGACACAGGGACACACACACACACACACACACACACACACACACTAGCTGGGCGTGGTGTTGTGTGCCTGTAGTCCCAGCTACTCGGAAGGCTGAGGTGGGAGGATTGCTTGAACCCAGGAGGTGGAGGCTGCAGTAATCCGTTATCATGCCACTGCACTCTATCCTGGGCAACAAAGTGAGAAAGTGAGACCCTGTCTCAAAAAAAAAAAAAGATTATCTCTTTTTATTCACTAACATTAAAATAGATTGAAATAGACAACTAAAGAGCTTCTCTGTGTCAATAAAAATCTTTTCTATAGTGATTGAAAAGCCTTTTATTTTCTAGTCCTTTTAACAATTCATGGGAGGCTTTTACCAGCCTAACTAACGGAAATTTAGATCTGCACGCTTTAAAATCTCAGGATCAAAGCTTTATCCTTTTTTTAAGTTGGCTCTGTGAGGCATGTTTTCCTGCCTCCTTCCCCAACCCGCAGTATCCAGCCATTGTCAGAAAGACTAATACCTCTCTGAAATATCTTCCCAATTCTGTTTACTATATCTAAGACCTTAATATAAGAATACAAATTTGATTCCTTTCAGATTTTTACATTTTAAAACTTTGTTTAGATTGTGACCCTTCTTTCTCATATTACAATCTCAGACACTTTGATTTCTTATTTGAGCACTGTTATCATCGGCTTTTTAGAATCTCTCACTTCCAAAATTTTTCTAGCTTAGTATACCAACCTTCTGTCAACTGTCTGCTACTTTTGCCCCACAAGAGATACACCAGATTTCAACTGATTTAATTCTATAAAGATAAAAATTGCTATAAAATATGCATATTGCTTAATTTTTAAATTCTATAGTCAAAGCAATATTTAGGAATATAAAAATATATTAAGTGTAATTTTAGTGTATTATAAAATATTCAAAAGATTTTTAAATTTCGGGCTGAATTTAGACATATGGCATAGGTTAACAAATTGATTATAAGCTGGTAAATTTAAAGAATCGAGAATTTCTTGCTTTGGCCAGGCTGAAAGAGGAAACAATTTTACCCAGAAAATGTCATCAACATTTCAGTAAAAATACCAACTACCATTGTTGAGCATGGTGAGTAGCAGAGCCAGTGTTCAAACCAGGCACTGGTTTGTGGCTTATTTAATCCTCACAACAATCAGGACAGGTAACCATTATCACCATGTTAAAAATGAGGAAAGTGAGGTGCCAAAAAATTAGGAAGATTATTTAAGTGACAGATTTGGAATTCAAAATAAGGGCTGTGTAGCTCTAAAGCCATTATTTTTCGCCACACCACGCTGTTTCTACTTTAAACATATATGTAATTATTTGTGTTTTCTGAACTAGGCTGCTCTGTTTTTTCAGTAGTTACTAGTTCTTCTTAAGCTCTATTATCTTCATGGATTTAACAAAATTAATTGAAAGTTAACTGCTTCTTCTACCGTTTTGTTTTGGATTGCTTTTTTATTTCGCATAGAGTATTTACAAATGTAGAATATTCTTTCAAATGGCACTAAAAATTGAGAAATCTGAACTTGACTTAATCCAACAATCTGGTTTGTTTTTTTTTTTTTTTTTTTTTTTTGTCAGGTGGACAGTGTCTGGCTTCCTTGCTCAGGCTGAAGTGCAGTGGAGTGGTCTCGGCTCACTGCAACCTCCGCCTCCCAGGTTCAGGCAATTCTCCTGTCTCAGACTCCAGAGTAGCTGGGATTACAGACATGCACCACCATGCCCGGCTAATTTTCATATTCTTAGTAGAGACAGGGTTTCACCATGTTGGCCAGGCTGGTCTTAAACTCCTGACCTCAAGTGATCCACCCACCTCAGTCTCCCAAAGTGCTGGGATTACAGGCATGAGCCACCGTGCCCAACCCTTAATCCAACAGTCTTTAGTAGCTCTCCACTCCTCACATTTCTAGGAAGATGCAATTATCAGCGAGATAGAAATAAGAGACTTAACAATTCGCAGGAGACTTGTACCAGTCTAACTAATGGAAATTTAGATCTGCATGCTTAAAGACTAAGGGTTAGTGATGGAAAAAAATGGGCATATGGAGCAAGTGAAATAATTGAATTTTAATATCACTGAAGGTAGGTAAGATATTTTTAATATATTAAGAAAAATTATATTTCATTTTCATGGAAATGAAGCTGAGTAAAAACTAAATTCTTTCTAGAGAAAAATACTAATATAGGTAGAATATAGACATGGCAAAGATTAAATATGGTACATAAATAACAAATGATTTTAATAAATTCTAAAGCCTCATATGGTAAATTAGATCTCATTTATTTTCCTGTATTCTTTCCATCAACATGTAACCTTTTGTGACAGAAGATTCTGATGGTTATATTAGAAACAGTGAACCTATAGTAAAAGCCCTAAAAGTTGTCTCCATCTTCCCCTTACTTCATTGCCTTCGTTCATATTTTTTTCTTCATCTCAACTTTCTTCTCTTCTGCTGTTTCCTGCCTACAGTAAAAAAAATTACATATACCCACATTCAGTTTCATTACTTCAAGACCAAGTTCATACTTATTTCCTCCAAGATGACTTTCCTAATCTTCTACTCCAACTTTGATTATATCATTAATTGGTATTAATGGGTGGACATGGTGACTCATGCCTATAATCCCAACACTTTGAGAGATGGAGGCTGTAGACCAGGAGTTTGAGACCAGCCTGAGAACATAGTGAGACCTCATCTTCAATTTTAAAAATAAAAGAAAAATGTAAAAAACAAAGAAAAATAATTGGTATTTATCAGCAGTCAAATATTCTTGCAGTAACACTGTAATTATATTTTATCTCTTCACCTGTATTGAGGGTGAGACATAGTGTTTTAATATTTTTCTGAAAATTACATATTTTATTTTTTATTGTGGAAATTTCAAATTCGGAAAAGTTTAGTGAACTTCCTGTTCATGTCTGTTACCTGTAGGTATTCTTCTTTATTTTTTAGATATGCTTTATATTTAGGGATGTCAATCCCTTTGGGAAATAAATTCCAAATGTTTTTCCCCATCGGTATTTTTTTATCGAGGTGCAGTTGACATAAAGTTAACTGTACATCTTTAAGGTGTATATTTTGTTGATGAATTTTGACATTTATATGCCCATGAAATAATTATAATGAAGATAGTGAACATTTTCGTCACCCCCAGAAGTTTCTTTGTGCCCTTTATGCCCCACTCACCTAATTCCTTGGTCCCTAGGCAACCACTGTTCTCTTTTTCTGTCACCAAATTAGTTTGCATTTCCTAGAATTTTATATAAATGTAATCATACAGTATGTACTCCTTTTGGTCTGACTGCTTTTATATAACAATTATTTTCAGAGTCCATCTAATCAGTTTCCTTTAATTTTGACTTCCATTAAGATCTTCCTTATTTCTTAAATTTTTTCTTCAGAACTTAATACTTAGGGCAGTAGTTGAAAACAATGCAGTCCACAGATGTTTGGACTTTACAGTGGCACTTTAAATTTTTGACTTACATGCCAAGATTTTAATGCTTTTAGGATTAGTCTGTAAACAGGACTGACTTTTCAGAGTGAGTTCTGGGAAGGTGGCTACTTGAATATCTCACTATCCCTCCATTCCTGCTTCCAGCCTGTATCTGTCAATCTTGAGTGAAGTGGCTCCTGGATCTGATGAACAGTTGGTGCAATTGAGGCCATGGGCTGTGTGAGAACTCTGTCAGGGAGAGTTGGTACAGGACTTTTCCTCTAGACAAGAGCCTGGAAAATCTCAGGATAAGCATAAGAATGGCAAATCCAGGAAAGAACTTGGTTTGGTAGATATCCATGAATTCCTGGAGGGAAGGAGAAAAGGAAAGAGCCATGGGTCTGAGATCTTCCCATCCCTGTGGCTGGCATATGTAAGGAGACCTGAGAGCAGGGAGGCTTCCTCCTGGGCCTCCACAAGGGCTGGTGGCTTGCCTGCTGCAGCACTGCCTACCCACAGGGGTAGAGACTGCTTTGCCTTTCCATTTTCTTGAGACTGCTACCGCTTGTGGTCCTCCAACAACTAAATCTCATCCCCCATGAGGTGACAAAGATAAACAACCCATCTGGGGAAGCCAGGCAACCTGAAAGAGAAAAACCACTTAGAATAAACAATATATTGAGTTAGCTAAATAGAAATGCTGGAGGAGGCTGGGCACGGTGGCTCACGCCTGTAATCCCAGCACTTTGGTAGGCCGAGGCGGGCGGATCACGAGGTCAGGAGATCGAGACCATCCTGGCTAACATGGGGAAACCCCATCTCTACTAAAAAAAGATACAAAAAATTAGCCGGGCGCGGTGGTGGGCGCCTGTAGTCCCAGTTACTCAGGAGGTTGAAGCAGGAGAATCACTTGAACCCAGGAGGCAGAGGTTGCAGTGAGCCGAGATCGCGCCACTCCCTTTAGCCTGGGTGACAGAGCGAGACTCCATCTTTAAAAAAAAAAAAAAAATGCTGGAGGAGAGAGAAACTTGAACATGAAAATAATAATGGGCCACATTTAAGACTTTATGGAACAAAAAATGTGATTTTTCCACCTAAATAATTATTATCACCTGACTCCATTTATCCTCACACACTTATTTTTTTTAAAACTATCTCTGCTAGAGTGTAAGCACCAGGAGAACAGGAACTTTTTTGTCTTGTATTCACTGCTAATCTGTTGTCAACTCTAATACCTAGAACACTGTCTTACACATAGTAGGCGCCCGAAACATAATTATTGAATAAAGGAATGAATGAGTATGAACAATTATTGACCTGGAAGATCAAGTAAAATAAATATTTCAAAGCATGGAGCCAAAAAAAAAATACAAAAAAAAAAAACTTTTAAAAAAGAGACCTATTGGATCGATTCAGGACACCTAACATGGCTAATACAAGTTCCAGAAGAAGAAAAAGGAACAAATGGAGAAGGAATAATTAAACAACATAAAATTATTTCCTGAGCTAAAGACTTCAGTGTGCAGAATGAAGTTCTGGGGGAGATCAGTGATGAAAAACACATACATAGGGATATCCTTGTAAAATTTTTGAGCTCCAAGGATTCACCTTGGAGGCTTCCAGATAGAACAGGTTGCACCTATCAAGTAACAGACTGGAATCAGAATTCTAATTCACAACACTGGAAACTAGGAGATGGTAGAAGAGTATTTACAGATTGGGGATTTCACAATCCCAAATCCCTATTTCCCTTGAAGATATTTCTCCCCTATGAGGGGAAACATGTTACAACTATACAAAAATTTCAAGGATATAATACCCACTTAACTCCTCTGAGAAAATTCAAGAAGGGGTTTTAGCCAAATAACAAGTGACCTAGAACAGAGATCACATGATGAAAGGGATAGAAATAATGGAAAATGACAGACTCTTTGGGAATGTATTATGTAAATGCTAAGTAAGGTTTTTAACCAAAGGATGCATAGTTCAGAGAACAATAATATTTACAATGTGATAAGTAAGTCAGGGCAGAACCTCAAAACTGTGGGAACAAAAGGAAGTAACAGCTTTCCAATTAAGGTGAGGAGAGGAAAAAGCACCAATATGTACATGAAAAGATGCTCAACATCATTAGTTATTAAAGAAATACACATCAAAACCAAAATGAGGTACAGTTTTTTCACACTCACTGGGATGGCTATAAACAAAAAGACAGATATCAAGTGTTGGAAAGGATGTGAAGTATTGAAACTCTCATCTGCTACTAGTGACAATGTAAAACAGTACAACTACTTTGGAAAACAATTTGACAGTTTCTTAAAAAGTTAAACATAGAATTACCATATGTCCCAGTAATTAAGTGTATTTCCACACAAAAACTTGTACAGGAATGTTTATAGCAGCATTATAAATAATAGCTAATAAAGAAGTAACAGCCCAAATGTCCTCCAGCTGACAAATGAATAGATAAAATGTGATATAGCCATATAATGGAATATTATTTGGCAATAAAAACAAAGTACTGATTCCTGCTATAACATGTGTGAAGCTTGAAAATGCAAGTTAAGGAATCTAGTTGCAAAAAACCCCAAACACATACTGTATGATTCCATTCGTAGGAAATGTCCAGAATAGGTAAATTTATAGAGGCAGAAGTTAGATTAATGGTCGTTTAGTCTGGATAGGGTTGGGGAGAGTGAGATGGGGATTAGCCTGCTGATGGGTAGAGGGTTTCTTTTAGTGGGGAGACAAAAATGTAAAATTAGATTGTGGTGACAGCTACACAACAGTGTGACTATATTAAGAAACACTGAACACTTTGAGTGAATTATATGGTGTTGTCTTAGTATGTTTCATGCTGCTATAACAATACCACAGACTGGGTAATTTATAATGAATTGAAATTTATTGACTCGTGGTTCTGGAGGCTGGAAAGTCCAAGACCAAGGTGCCAGCATCTGCTGAGGGCCTTCTTGCTGCATCTTCCCATGGCAGAGGGCAGAGAGGGTAAGAGGGAGTGAGAGAGAAGGGGACCAAACTCCCTATTTTGTTACAAACTCTCTTGATAATGACATTAATCCATTGTTGAGGGTGGCTTAATTACCTAATGGCCTAATTACCTCTAATTAGTCCCCCACCTCCCAGTGATGTTGCATTGGGGATTAAGTTTCCAACAGATGCTTTTGGGAGGATATATTCAAACCATGGCAGGTCTGTAGTTTATGTTTCAAAATGTATTTTTTTTAAAGAGGAACTAGTGTTGATAATACACAGCAGCTTGCATGAATCTGCAAGGCATTAGGCTCAATGAAAAAAAGGCAGTCTCAAAAGTTTATATATGATTCCATTTATATTTTCTAAATTATTGAAGATCATGACACATTTACTATTCAAAGTATACACACTAAAAACAATGTTTTTAAAAAATTCCAGAATACAGTATATATAATAATAGTTTCTAGTTTAATGTCTGGGTTTAAAACTTTAGGAAATGTTATGTTCAGCCTACATTAAGCAGTTAACCTTTGACTGTAACATGAAATCAATATAGGCTCTTAAAATATTGGAAATGTTCACAGTAGTCTCTTAGTCCCCCTAATTCCCCTTTTAACTCCTTAGTTCCTAATTTGTTGTTTAGGCCAATTTTCTCCCCTTCTTGTTAAGAAGATAGTCTCTTATGGTCATGTTTATTTTTCCAAAACCATCTTTAAAATGAAAATGTGAAATATGTTTCCACAGTGCATGAAAAATAATTTGGATCATCCACAAGACCAAAGAATGACATAATCTTTTTTTTTTTTTTTTTTTTTTTTGAGACAGGGTCTCCCTTCTCCCGTCTGTCACCCAGGCTGAAGTGCAGTGTCATGATTATGGCTCATTGCAGCCTCAGCCTCCTGGGCTCAAGCAATCCTCTCACCTCAGCCTCCCAAGTAGCTGGGACTATAGACATCCACTACTACGCCAGGCTAATTTTTAATTTTTTTGTAGAGACAAATCTCCCTGTGTTGCCCAGGCTGGTCTTGAACTCCTAGGCCCAAGCAATCATCCCACCTCCACCTCCGGAAGTGCCAAGATTATAGGCATGAGCCACTGTGTCACCCAGGCTGGAGTGCAGTGGCACAATCTCAGCTTACTGCAACCTCCGCCTCCTGGGTTCAAGCAATTCTTTTACCTCAGCCTCCCGAGTAGCTGGGATTACAGGCTCCCGCCACCACACCTGGCTAATTTTTGTATTTTTGTAGAAATGGGGTTTCACCATGTTGGACAGGCTGGTCTCAAACTCCTGACCTCAAGTGATCCACCCGCCTCGGCCTCCCAAAGTGTCAGGATTGCAGGCATGAGCCACCACACCTGGCTAGCCCATAATCTTCTTTATACATAATTTTCTTCAGTAATATTTGCAACAGCCTCAAGATCCATCCTCCTTTGTTATTTCTTAGTAAGTTTTTTTTCTTCTTTTTTAACTGTGTAGGTACAGTCCTCTTGTATCATTTATACTTTTCTTGACTGACCAGTTTGTGGATTTGGCCCAATAAACTCTCTTTATATTATACTTTGGCCTTTATTAAATCTACTGTCTGGTATTACTCTCACCATCTTCTCAGTGTTATAGGCTGAGAAGAAAATTACAACCATAGGTTGTATAAGTTATAGGCTGTGAATTAGAAGTATAACTATCTTCATCACTGCTGAGTTCTTCAACTTCTAGTGGATTTATCTCCACATATTTGGAAGAATTTCAACACAACTTAATCTAATGTATTCAGAACACAGTTTACCTCATTTGCATTTTCTTTATACAAATCTGAGCTCAAACAAAAAGTGGTCTTAACATTTCTCTTGCTTGGGACACTCCACTAAATAGCACTGGTTTGCTTAAGAGCCTCTGTTAATCTAATACTTATTCTTAGCATATGTACTGGATTTTGAAGGACATTGTTGATGAGTACCCAGTATTAGTGGCAGATCTGCAGGCTGGTCTCGAACTCCTGACCTCAGGTGATCCGCCCACCTTGGCCTCCCAAAGCACTGGGATTACAGGCGTGAGCCACCACGCCCAGCCTTGTCTGGCTGTCTTTTCTTTAAAATAAGTCAGATGGATCAAAGAGACGATTGCTAAGTAAATTCACATACAATTTCTTCAGGATTCATGTGTTGTGTGTTCTGCTCCATAGGCATGTTTGGCCCTACATTTTCACTACTTTCTACCTTAATTACCATTTTCTTCCTTCTAGTATCTAGACTTGTTGGGAAAAATTGGAATGACAGCATTACAGTCATAGTGTCAATAATTTTTTTCCCTCTGTTTCCTTCTCTAGCATTCTGAGCCCTTGGTCTCAGGTGCTTTCTCTTTCCATTGGCTTTTAGGAAAGTTCATCCTTCTGTCTTCAGCTCTTATGTTTTGATGAGGACTTTGTTTCTTTGTTTCCATCATCAGCCTTTATTAAAACTAATCCTGAATTTTGGTCTCTTGGTATTTGTCTTTGAAATCACTTCAACATGAGTCAGTTAACAAACATGTTGAGGCCGGGCCTGGTGGCTCACACCTGTAATCCCTGACCTCACCTGAGGTCAGGAGTTCAAGACCAGCCTGACCGACATGGTGAAACCCTGTCTCTACTAAAAAAGACAAAATTAGCCAGGTGTGGTGGTGCATGCCTCTAATCCCAGCTATTCAGGAGGCTGAGACAGGAGAATCGCTTGAACCTGGGAGGCGGAGGTTGCAGTGAGCCGAGATCGCGCCATTGCACTCCAGCCTGGACAACAAGAGTGAAACTCCTTCTCAAAAAAACAAAAATGTTGAACATTTTATAAATGTTACATGAAGCTCTGTCTGTATTACATGAAGTTGTAATTGTCACAGCAACGTTAAAACAAAATTCTTGTCTCAAAATGCTTATAATGGGCAGATAGGACCCCTGCCCCTCATGCCCCCAAACCTGCTCCTCTCATTCTTTTTTTTTTTTTTTTTTTTTTGAGACGGAGTCACTCTGTCTCCCAGGCCAGAGTGCAGTGGTGCGTCTCAGCTCACTCACTGCAATGTCTGTCTCCCAGGTTCAGGCAGTCCTCGTGCCTCAGCCTCCCAAGTAGCTGGGACTACAGGCACACACCACCATGACTGGCTAATTAAAAACTTTTGGGTGTGTGTGGAGACAGAGTCTTCTATGTTTTCCAGCCTGGTCTGGGCTCAAGTGATCCTCTTGCCTCAGCCTCCCAAAGTGCTGGGATTACAGACATGAGCCACTGTGCCTAGCCACCTCCTTTCATTCTTAATCCTGGCAGCTGTGTTATGGCTAGGGGTAGGGGAGTAGGGGAATCTCACAGCCATGAAAACTGATACCACCATAAATTCATCATTTCCAACAATGTTGTACTGTCGACACTATTTAGACATTCTGTGTGATTCTAGTTAGCTTCCCTTCTCAATCCTTACAGAGTTAAAATGCTTAAGACCTCAATCCTCCATTCTCATATAGCTAAACCTTCTACTTCACAGAGTAAACTGTATTTCTTTATTTCTAATATTCTTCTTCATAAGTTCTTACCAGCATCTGTGTTGACACCTATCCTTTACCACCTTCCTTGTTGTCGTTCAATATTGATCCATACACCTGTGCTCTAGAACCTTTCTTGCTTCCTAACTCTTGTGATTTCTAATTTTTTTATTGACTCCTTCCCCCTTGATATATTACAATATTCAATCTCTCTGTCACTCTTTCCTTTTCTTTCTCGCCGATTTTTGCTCATTTAGTCTTCCAAATAATTCTCAAATTTGTCCCGTTCTCTCCATCTTCACTGCTACTATCCTAGTCCATTGTTATTTTTTGTCTAACCTCCTAAAGCCATCCATTACAGTAATTACCAGAGGAATTTTTCTCATATGTAAATCTCATCCTATTACTCCCTCATTTAAAACCCCCTAATGTCTCCCCATGCTGACAAAGTCTGTACTGCTTAGCAGGTACATGTACCTACACGATCTAGAACATCCCAGCTTAATAGCTTCCTTGTTTATTACTCTTTTGTACATACTGCACACCAGATATAATGAATGTTCTTGAATGTCTCTGTTGCTTTAACACATTTATTCCATCCTCTTGGAGTGTTCTTCAGTTACCTAGCAAACAATCTTCATGTTAAGACTGAGCTCAAATACCACTTCTTCCTTAATGGTCCCTGTGATCACTCCAGGAAATGTAATGTAATGTACACGCTACCATACTCTATGTCTACACCTCCAATATAGTACTTTAGTCACCCACTGCAATCACTTGTCTTACCCGTATGTGCTGTAAGCCCCTTAGGGGTAGCTGCTGTGCTCTATTCATCTTTATGCATCTCCAGTGCCTAGCACATAATCTGACATTTATAGATGCTTAGTAAATATTTGTTGAATTAATATGTTGATTAATTAAAAGATAATACAAGGCAGCTTATACCCAACAGTTGAGAAAAGGTTAAACTAAAATATAAAGGGGCTTAAATGCCAAGCTGAAGTTTTTCGAGTTCACCCTATAAGCCAATGGGTCCAAATAAGTAAACCACAATCTATTTATAAATGTCTACACCAGTAGCCTCCGCTACCACCATCATCCCCACCATCATCCCCCAGCCTGAGATTTCAAAGTAGGAACAAAGGTAGAGCTTACAAAGGCAGCCCTTCCCCTTTGCTTTGAGGGACTCAGATTAGTACCCCACACATGATGTAGATTACAAATAAACAAGTGAAAATGATCTTCACAAAATGTTTGGGGTCTCCTGGCAGTGTCACTTGGAAAGCTTTCAAAGTATTTATTTTGTTGTTTAAGCAATGATGCAAACTGATAAAGGCAGAATTTTAGGATTATTAGTATGGAGGAAAATGTAGGATTGTTTGAAGATGGGAGAATTGGTGGCAATTGGTCTAAGCTGAAAAGGATGAGAATCTAAATGATGGCAGTGCAATGGAATAGATTGGTGTGGAAGCATACTGAAGCCACATTTAACTGGATTTGATGACTAAATATTGAGACTGAGGGAGGAAGGGGGAAGAATCAGGTTGGAAGTACATGTGCTCACTGCTTCTGTGTACCCACTTTCTCTGTGAATGACAGGATTCTTTTCTTCTTTTTTATGTTAGGTATATTAAATCCTGCTATTTTATCTCTGGAATGTCTCTCCTCCATTTCCCCCCACCCATTTTTCTACTTTTTCATGAACTAATCATCCTTCAAGATTTAGCTCAGTTATCCCCTTGACAACATCTCTTACCATTGCTTTATTTTTATTTTATTTATTTATTTATTTATTTATTTTGAGACAGAGTCTCACTCTGTCGCCTAGGCTGGAGTGCAGAGGCACCATCTCAGCTCACTGCAACCTCCGCCTCCCGGGTTCAAGCAGTTCTCCTGCCTCTGCCTCCCGAGTAGCCAGGATTGCAGATGCCCACCACCATGCCTAGCTAATTTTTGTATTTTTAGTAGAAACGGGGTTTCACCATCTTGGCCAGGCTGGTCTCAAACTCCTGACCTTGTGATCCACCTGCCTCGGCCTCCCAAAGTGCTGGGATTACAGGTGTGAGCGGCCTATTTTTGTTCTTTCCTTCTTGAGTCCCACAGTATTTGTACTTAAACTGTAATAATTTTATTGTTTCATAATTGTGTATTTTTCCCCTCTGAACTTCTTGAGAGCAAATGGTCACTGTTTTTGATATCCATAGTGCCTAGCATGTACCTGACATATAGTAGGCATTCAGAGTCTTGGTTGAATTAATATTAATAACTACTACTGCTGTCCTAGACAGTTAGCCTTAGAGATGTTTGCACATGGACAGACCGCCGTGGTCTATTAATGAGTCTGCCTGCCTGTCTCTAATATATCTAGCATTTATTTCTTTTTGCATTTTTGTACTCATGTTTCCTTGCCTAAAATACTGCTTTCATTTTTAGACTTCTACATAGAGAATTTCAGTTGTTTTCCATCTCCTTTAGACTCCTCTATTTGCCTTCCAAGATTTTCCTAATATGACCCAATCTTCCCAAGCAAATCTTTCCAGACATGTGCTGTATTTATTCCTCCTCTGTGATTTTGAGCCCTCCATGATTTTTAAGGTTTTCAAAAATCCTCCTTCAAGTTCACACTGCCTTGATCAATGTTGCACGTCTCCCTGTGGACCCTCACACTGCTTCCTGCTAGTGAGATGATCCAAGACCACAGCTGAGGCCTGGCTTTGCCATGGTTCCATTGGCTTTATTGGCTACACCACCTTGGGCAAATCATTTCAGCTTTCTCTGAGCTAGTTTCTTTATGAATATAGGAATAATTCTTCTTCACATGGTTGCTGTGCAGTTTTTATGTGATGATAGTAGGAAATTTTCCCTAAATTCAGTCTTTTAGAGACTACCTTTGTAATCTTTCTATTTTTATGGATCATCTTTGTGTTTATTTAATTTTTTTCTTAAATTGAGTCACTGCTTTTATGGTTTCCTTTTAAAAAGGAACGTTGTCACTAAATGAAATACCAGCATGCTTGCCATAAATAGAGTATAAATTAAAAATAGATACAATAAAGCAGCTAATCTTGTTAGATACTGTTGCCAAGCTTAGGCTCTGACTAAGCCTGTTAAAAAAGAGATTAGCAACATTTGAAGAGATTTTAAAGATATTCTAGCACAAACATTTTTAAAAATGATATTTGGCAAAGTGCTTCCAACTTTCAGTTAGCTGGGTTAATGGCAGGATGAGGGGAGAAGGTAGAATCAGTTAAAACTTATCAAGATGTTTAGTAGAAAATGAACTTAATAAACATTTGTAGTTAAATTTTCAAAAATTTGATTCTTATGGAGTTATCAGAAGTATACAAATAACACAAGTAAAACAGTTTGGTTACTAAAATTTTTTTTCAAATATCAAAGTAGAAGCATATCTACTTTTCTATGTGGATGTTCTTTATCTCTTCTTAATTTCTCTACCTTCAGTCCTGACTCTCTGTTGGATTCCATAACCACATGAGCTTTCCTTTACCTTCTCTGTGTTCTGCCATGCTCTTGGCAAAAAGGGATGGGGCAGTCTTACCTGGGTCGGCAATGTTTGTGAACTCTGCTGCATTAGCAACGCATCGATATGGCCATCTGTGGTCACTGTGTAGTTCCATGCACCAGATACCTACTCTGACTATTTGTAATTATTTCATACATGCCTTGTTGTGATCTTGTGCCTTAGATAATTATCTTCCCTGGATAATTAAAAGTTATGTATATTACCATTATTCATTCTTGTACCTAAATTTTAGGAACAACCAGTATGATATAGTAGACAAATCAGAATCCAAGTTCAAGCGAGTCTTTTTTGAAATTTACACTCAGTTTGCCTTGGATGAACCATTGAGCCTAATCTTGCTTTAGCTTTTTAATATTTCCTATCTGTATCACAGGGTTATCATGAGAACCAAAAGAAATATGTGAAAATATTTTAAAAACTGTAAAATGTTACTATGTGTAAGTTACTATTATTACCATCATTCTTTCTTAGTTTCTTAAGTTGAAGTTGACTTTTCAACTAGATTATGAGCTGCTTAATGTCAGGAAATATCTTATGCTCACTCTTGTTCCCCACAGCATCCAACACAGCTTTAGGCATGTTTAAAACTTATGGAATTAAATTATCATTGTTTATTTGAATTGGAATCATTAATAAAATTGTACTGGGAAATGTAGTACAGACAGTCCTTAACAATTACTATTATAAATAATTGTATCACAACATTCCAAACTGTGTGTTTGTTTGTTTTTGAGATGAAGTTTCGCTCTTGTCACCCAGGCTGGAGTACAATGGCGTGATCTCAGCTCATTGCAACCTCCTTCTCCTGGGTTCAAGCAATTCTCCTGCCTCAGCCTCCCGAGTAGCTGGGCTTACACGCATGTGCCACCATGCCTGGCTAATTTTTTGTATTTTTAGTAGAGATAGGGTTTCTCTATGTTGGTCAGGCTAGTCTTGAACTCCCAACTTCAGGTGATCCGCCTACCTTGGCCTCCCAAAGTGCTGGGATTACAGGTGTGAGCCACCGCACCCAGCCTCCAAACTGTATGTTAATGTGTATTTTGTCCACACTATAAATGTATCAAATTTTTTGATACAAGAATAGTGACTCAAACTATTATTATCACATGACTGTATCGTTATAAATCAATGTGTATATCAGTGCTAAGAATTCAACCACATTACTTTGATATTTTCCACAGTACTATTGTACTACAAAATGTTTAGAATTCCAAGAAATATGCCCAGCTACCTAAATTCTAATTTGTCGCCATGACTCTTTTTAGCATATAATTGTTATTATGTCTGTTGAGGATCATTCTGTGGCTTATCTCAATTTTCTGTGATATAGTATTATTCCTATTGCATAGATGGTAAATTAAAGCTAAGAAGTATTGACTCATTTTCCCAAGGTTACACTAATAACATGTGGTAGAGCTAGTATCTCACCTGAGCTTTACCTGCTTCCCAGTTCTGTGTTATCTTTTCACTCTGCCTCATGTCTGCGCTCTGGGATAGTTGCACAGCTGTCATAGTGGGCTCTGTCTTCAGCATCATCCTGGAGGTTCCCTTTGCCTTTCCTGTAAAATGGAACAATCATGATAGTACTTACAGCATAGGATGAGATTGCTGTAAATGAGATAATACAGGTAAAACGTTTAGGTGTCTATCACATACATACCCTAATAAGTGCTAACTGTTGATAATTCTTTCTATTGTTGTTATGTCTACTAGGAGACTTTTATTGGTCCCAAAATTATTCATGACACTTGTATTTATTATAAATCCATAATTTAACCAAATATTACACAAATTGATGTAATATGAATAGGGAAAGTAGAGTTGTGTCTATAAAAGCTAACGTGGATTATTTAGCAGGTCATTAAACACTTATTTAAGGCTGGGTGTGGTGGCTCATGCCTGTAATCCTAGCACTTTGGGAGGGGAAGCAAAAGGATCTCTTGAGGCCACAAGTTAGAGACCAGCCTGGGTGATATATTTTGTCTCTACCAAATAAATTAGCCAGTTATAGTGGTGCACACCAGTAATCCTAGCTACTCAGGAGACTGAGGTGGGAGGATTGATTGAGCCCAGGAGTTGAAGATTACAGTAACCTAAGATTATGTCATTGAACTCAATCATGAGCAACAGAACAAGACCCTGTATCTTAAAAATAAAATTAAAAAAAAGGTATTTAGGGCCAGGTGTGGTGGCTCACAACTGTAATCCCATTACTTTGGGAGGCCAAGGTGGGTGAATCACGCGGTCAAGAGTTCGAGATCAGCCTGGCCAACATGGTGAAACCCCCTCTCTACTAAGAATACAAAAATTAGCCTGGCATTTTTGTATCACATTTTGGATCACAGGTGGTGAGTGCCTGTGATCCCACCTACTCAGGAGGCTGAGGCAGGAGAATTGCTTGAACCAGGGAGGTGGAGTTTGCAGTGAGCCGTGATCACACCACTGCACTCCAGCCTGGGTGACAGAGCAAGACTCCGTCTCAAGGTGGGGGTGGAAGGAAGTATTTAAATTAGCAGTGGACAAGAGACCTGTAAAAGAGTTGGGAGTGGGGCAATGACAAAGCTTTGAAAAGAATATAGATATTGCTTCATAAGTATCTTTAAACCAAAGTTGGAAATCACAGACTTATGCCTTATGGGTGTAATTTACACAAGAAAGAAAATGAATAAATTCAATCTGCATAGTTGTATCGCTTTTACAAAATGATTGGTGAATTAATATACATTTGCAAGTTTATATACTTTTATGTTGAAATATTAATGTGTGAGCCATTTTTGTGTGTGTGTGATTCTCTATTTCAACCAGCTTTTAAAATTACCTATCAGCCCTGGCTGGGCATGGTGGTTCACACCTCTAATCCCAACACTTTGGAGGCTGAGACAGGAGGATCACTTGAGAACAGGAGTTTGTGGCCAGCCTGGGCAACATAGGGAGACCTTGTCTCTACAAAAAAACATTTTTTTAATTAGCAAGGTGTGACGGCACATGCCTGTAGTCCCAGCTACTGGGAAGGCTTAGGCCAGGGGATTACTTGGACCTGGGAGGTTTAGGCTGCAGTGAACTGAGATTGTGCCATTGTACTCCTGCCTAGGCCTCAGAGCGAGACTTTGTCTCAAAAAAATGAAATAGGCTAGGCGCGATGGCTCATGCCTGTAATCCCAGCACTTTGGGAGGCCAAGGCAGACAGGTCATCTGAGGTCGGGATTTCGAGACCAGCCTAGCCAACATGGCAAAACCCCGTCTCTACTAAAAATACAAAAATTAGCTGGATGTGGCAGTGGGCACCTGTAATCTCAGCTACTCGGGAGGTGAGGCAGGAGAATTGCTTGAACCCAGGAGGTGGAGGTTGCAGAGATCTGAGTTTGCACCACTGCACTCCAGCCTGGGCAACAGAGTGAGACTCTGTCTCAAAAATAAATTAATTAATTAAATAAAATAAAAACCTATCAGTCCTGACAGCAATAGATAGAATTACTTTTACTACATTTTACTAATTTCCCTGTTTTACCTAATTGCTGTATCCTTAAAGCCATATCAGAACTCAATTAAGATTTTTTAAAAAACACGTATCTTAAGGAGTCGCTTCCAAGATGGCTGAATAGGAACAGCTCTGGTCTACAGCTCCCAGCAAGATTGACACAGAAGATGGGTGATTTCTGCATTTCCAACTGAGGTACCTGGTTCATCTCATTGGGACTGGTTGGACAGTGGGTGCAGCCCACGGAGGGTGAGCCAAAGCAGGGTGGGGCATTGCTTCACCCAGGAAGCACAAGGGGTCGGGGGATTTCCCTTTCCTAGCCAAGGGAAGCCGTGAGTGACTGTGCTTGGAGGAGTGGTACACTCCTGCCCAAATACTGCGCTTTTCCCACAGTCTTCACAACCATCAGACCAGGAGATCCCTTCCCATGCCTGGCTCAGCAGGTCCCACACCCACGGAGCCTTGCTAGCTGCTAGCACAGCAGTCTGAGATTGACCTGGGACGTGGGAGCTTGGTGGGGCAAGGGGCGTCTGCCATTGGTGAGGCTTGAGTAGGCAGTTCTGTGCTCACTTGGAGTAAACAAAGTGGCAGGGAACCGCGAACTGGGCAGAGCACACCACAGCTCAGCAAGGCCTACTGCTTCTCTAGATTCCACCTCTGGGGGCAGGGCATATCTGAACAAAAGGCAGCAGACAGCTTCTCCAGACTTAAACGTCCCTCCTGGACAGCTCTGAAGAGAGCAGTGGTTCTCCCAGCGTGATGTTTGAGCTCTAAGAATGGACACACTGCCTCCTCAAGTGGTTCCCTGACCCCTGTGTAGCCTGACTAGGAGACATCTCCCAGTAGGGGCCGACAGACACCTCATACAAGCAGGTTCCCCTCTGAGACGAAGCTTCCAGAGGAAGGATCAGGCAGCAATATTTGCTGTTCTGCAGCCTCTGCTGGTGATACCCAGGCAAACAGGGTCTGGAGTGGACCTCCAGTAAACTCCAACAGACCTGCAGCTGAGTGGCCTGTCTGTTAGAAGGAAAACTAGCAAACAGAAAGGAATAGCATCAACATCAACAAAAAGGACATCCACACCAAAACCCCATCTGTAAGTCACCAACATCAAAGACTAAAGGTAGATAAAACCACAAAGATGGGAAGAAACCAGAGCAGAAAGGCTAAAAAATTCCAAAAACCAGAATGCCTCTTCTTCTCCAAAGAAACACAACTCCTCACCAGCAAGGGAACAAAACTGGATGGAGAATGAGTTTGACAGGTTGACAGAAGTAGGCTTCAGAAGGTCGGTAATAACAAACTTCTCCGAGCTAAAGGAGCATGTTCTCACCCATTGCAAGGAAGCTAAAATCTTTGAAAAAAGGTAGGACAAATGGTTAACTAGAATAACCAGTGTAGAGAAGAGCTTAAATGACATGATGGATCTGAAAACCACAGTACAAGAACTTAGTGAAGCATACACAAGCTTCAATAGCCGATTCAATCAAGCGGAAGAAAGGATATCAGTGATCGAAGATCAAATTAATGAAATAAAGTGAGAAGACAAGATTAGAGAAAAAAAAGTGAAAAGAAATGAACAGAGCCTCCAAGAAATATGGGACTATGTGAAAAGACCAAATCTACGTTTGATTGGTGTACCTGAAAGTGACAGGGAGAATGAAACCAAGTTAGAAAACACTCTTCAGGATATTATTCAGGAGAACATCCCCAACCTAGCAAGGCAGGCCAACATTCAAATTCAGTAAATACAGAGAACACCGCAAAGATGCTCCTCAAAAAGAGCAACCCTAAGACACTTAATTGTCAGATTCACCAAGGTTGAAATGAAGGGAAAAATGTTAAGCGCAGCCAGAGAGAAAGGTCAGGTTACCCACAAAAGGAAACCCATCAGACTAACAGTGCATCTCTCAGCAGAAACCCTACAAGCCAGAAGAGAGTGGGAGCCAACATTCAACATTCTGAAAGAAAAGAATTTTCAACCCAGAATTTCATATCCAGCCAAACTAAGCTTCATAAGTGAAGGAGAAATAAAATCCTTTACAGACAAGCAAGTGCTGAGAGATTTTGTCACCACCAAGTCTGTCTTAGAAGAGCTCCTGAAGGAAGCACTAAACGTGGATACGAACAACTGGTACCAGCCACTGCAACAACATACCAAATTGTAAAGACCATCAGTGCTATGAAGAAACTACATCAATTAACAGATGAAATAACAAGCTAGCACATAATGACAGGATCAAATTCACACATAACAATTATTAACCTTAAATGTAAATAGGGTAAGTGCCCCAATTAAAAGACACAGACTGGCAAATTGGATAAAGAGTCAAGACCTATCGGTGTGCTGTATTCAGGAGACCCATCTCACGTGCAAAGACACACATAGGCTCAAAATAAAGGGATGGAGGAAGATCTACCAAGGAAATGAAAAACAAAAATAAATAAATAAATAAAGCAGGGCTTGCAATCCTGGTCTGTTTGATAAAACAGACTTTAAACCAACAAAGATCAAAAGAGACATTTACATAATGGTAAAGGAATCAATTCAACAAGAAGAGCTAACTATCCTAAATGTATATGCACCCAATACAGGAGCACCCAGATTCATAAAGCAAGTTCTTAGAGACCTACAAAGAGACTTAGACTCCCACACAGTAACAATGGGAGACTTTAACAGCCCACTGTCAATATTAGATCGACGAGACAGAAAATTAACAAGGATATCCAGGAACTGAACTCAGCTCTGCACCAAGTGAACCTAATAGATATCTACAGAACTCTCCACCCCAAATCAACGGAATATACATTCTTCTCAGCACCACATAGCACTTATTCTAAAATTGACCACGTAATTGAAAGTAAAGCACTCCTCAGCAAATGTAAAAGAAACAGAAATCACAACAAACTGTCTCTCAGACCACAGTGCAATCAAATTAAAACTCAGGATTAATAAACTCACTCAAAACCACGCAACTACATGGAAAATGAACAACCTGCTCCTGAATGACTACTGGGTAAATAACGAAATGAAGGCAGAAATAAAGATGTTCTTTGAAACCGATGAGAACAAAGACATAACGTACCAGAATCTCTGGGACACATTTAAAGAAGTGTGTAAAGGGAAACTTGTAGCACTAAATGCCCGCAAGAGAAAGCAGGAGAGATCTAAAATCAACACCCTAACATCACAATTGAAAGAACTAGAGAAGCAAGAGCAGACAAATTCAAAAGCTAGCAGAAGGCAAGAAATAGTTACTAAGATCAGAACAGAACTGAAGGAGATAGGGACACAAAATCCCTTAAAAAAATCAATGAATCCAGGAGCTGGTTTTTTGAAAAGATCAACAAAATAGACTGCTAGCAAGACTAATAAACAAGAAAAGAGAGAAGAATCAGATAGGCATAATAAAAAATGATAAAGGGGATATCACCACCTATCCCAAAGAAATACAGACTACCATCAGAGAATACTATAAACACCTCTATGTAAATAAACTAGAAAATCTAGAAGAAATGGATAAATTCCTGGATACATACACCCTCCCAAGACTAAACAAGGAAAAAGTTGAATCTCTGAATAGACCAATAACAGGTTCTGAAATTGAGGCAATAATTAATAGCCTACCAACCAAAAAAAGTCCAGGACCAGAAGGATTCACAGCCAGATTCTACCAGAGGTACAAAGAAGAGCTGATACCATTCCTTCTGAAACTATTCCAATTAATAGAAAAAGAGGGAATCCTCCATAACTCATTTTATGAGGCCAGCATCATCCTGATACCAAAGTCTGACAGACACAACAAAAAAGAATTTTAGACCAATATCCCTGATGAACATTGATGCAAAAATCCTCAATAAAATACTGGCAAACCGAATCCAGCAGCACATCAAAAAGCTTATCCACCATGAGCACGTGGGCTTCGTCCCTGGGATGCAAGGCTGGTTCAACATAGCAAATCAATAAACGTAATCCAACATATAAACAGAACCAATGACAAAAACCACATGATTATCTCAACAGATGCAGAAAAGGCCTTCAACAAAATTCAACAGCCTTTCATGGTAAAAACTCTGAATAAACTAGGTATTGATGGAACATATCTCAAAATAATAAGAGCTATTCATGTCAAACCCACAGCCAGTATCATACTGAATGGGCAAAAACTGGAAGCATTCCCTTTGAAAACCGGGACAAGACAAGGATGCCCTCTCTCACCACTCCTATTCAACATAGTGTTGAAAGTTCTGGCCAGGGCAGTCAGGCAAGAGAAAGCAATAAGGGATATTCAAATAGGAAGAGAGGAAGTCAAATTGTCTCTGTTTGCAGATGACATGATTGTGTATTTAGAAAACCCCATCGTCTCAGCCCAAAATCTCCTTAAGCTGATAAGCAACTTCAGCAAAGTCTCAGGATACAAAATCAATGTGCAGAAATCACAGGCATTCCTATACACCAGTAACAGACAAACAGAGAGCCAAATCATGAGTGAACTCCCATTCACAATTACTACTAAGAGAATAAAATACCTAGGAATCCAACTTACAAGGGATGTGAAGGACCTCTTCAAGGAGAACTACAAACCACTGCCCAAGGAAATAAGAGGGGACACAATCAAATGGAAAAACATTCTATGCTCATGGGTAGGAAGAATCAATATAATGAAAATGGCCTTACTGCCCAAAGTGATTTATAGATTTAATGCTATCCCCATCAAGCTACCACTGACTTTCTTCACAGAATTGGGAAAAAACTACTTTAAAGTTCATATGGAACCAAAAAAGAGCCCGCATTGCCAAGGCAATCCTGTGCAAGAAGAACAAAGCTGGAGACATCAAGCTACCCGACTTCAAACTTTGCTACGAGGCTACAGTATCCAAAACAGCATGGTACTGGTACCAAAACAGATATATAGACCAATGGAACAGAACGGAGGCCTCAGAAATAACACCACACATCTACCACCATCTGATCTTTGACAAACCTGACAAAAGCAATGGGGAAAGGAGGCTACACAAACTACACAAACATATACATGGTGTTGGGAAAGCTGGCTATCCATATGCAGAAAACTGACACTGGACCCCCTTACACCTTATACAAAAATCAACTCAAGATGGATCAAAGACTTAAACATAAGACCTAGGACCATAAAAATCCTAGAAGAAAACCTGGGCAATACCATTCAGGACACAGGCATAGGCAAAGACTTCATGTCTAAAACACCAAAGCAATGGCAACAAAAGCCAACATTGACAAATGGGATCTAATTAAACTAAAGAGCTTCTGCACAGCAAAAGAAACTATTACCAGAGTGAACAGGCAACCTACAGAACGGGAGAAAATTTTTGCTATCTATCCATCTGACAAAGGGCTAATATCCACAATCTACAAAGAACTTAAACAAATTTACCAGAAAAAAGCAAACAACCCCATCAAAAAATGGGCAAAGGATATTAACAGACACTTCTCAAAAGAAGACATTTATGCAGCCAACAGACATATGAAAAAATGCTCATCATCACTGGTCATCAGAGAAATGCAAATCAAGACCACAGTGAGATACCATCTCACACCAGTTAGAATGGCAACCATTAAAAAGTCAGGAAACAACACATGCTGGAGAGGTTGTGGGAAAATAGGAATGCTTCTACACTGTTGGTGGGAGTGTAAATTAGTTCAATCGTTATGGAATAGAGTGTGGTGATTCCTCAGGGATCTAGAACTAGAAATACCATTTGACCCAGCAATCCCATTACTGGGCATATACCCAAAGGATTATAAATCATTTTACGATAAAGACACATGTGCATGTTTATTGCGGCACTATTCACAATAGGAAAGACTTGGAACCAACCCAAATGTCCATCAATGATAGACTGGATAAAGCAAATGTGGCACATATACACCATGGAATACTATGCAGCCATAAAAAAGGATGAGTTCCTGTCCTTTGCAGGGACATGGATGAAGCTGGAAACATCATTCTCAGCAAACTGTCACAAGATCAGAAAACCAAACACCACATGTTCTCACTCATAAGTGGGAGTTGAACAATGAGAACACATGGACACAGGGAGGGGAACATCACACACCAGAGCCCGGGGGGGTAGGGAAGGGATAACATTAGGAGAAATACCTAATGTAGATGACGGGTTGATGGGTGCAGCAAACCACCATGGCACGTGTATACCTGTATAACAAAACTGCACATTCTGCACATGTAACCCAGAACTTAAAGTATTTAAAAAAAAAAGTACTTGCTTTGGCATTTGCTTTGCTTTGCTTCCTCATTGGCTTTTTTCAAGCAAATTGTTATAAGTAATTTCTGTAGCTGCACTAGGTGTCATCATATTTAAGCTTTATTATTTGTCCTCTTTTGAAGCATAGTATGAGTACATATCTTGTGAATTAGGAGATAAGGTTGCTGCATAATTAATGCACATAGGGAAATTTTTTATTTTTGAGACAGAGTCTCACTTTGTCTAGAATGCAGTGGCGCAATCTTGGCTCACTGCAACCTCCGCCTGCCAGGTTCAAGCGATTCTCCTGCCTCAGCCTCCCAAGCAGCTGGGGTTACAGGCACCTGTCACCACACCCAGCTAATTTTTTGTATTTTTAGTAGAGACTGGGTTTCACCATGCTGGCCAGTCTGGTCTCAAACTCCTGACCTCAAGTGATCCACCCACCTCAACCTCCCAAAGTGCTGGGATTACAGGCGTGAGCCACTGTGCCCGGGCAGGGAAATTTTAAAAATGGAAAATGGAGCTCTCCTTTTAGACTTATGAATGCTATTAATGAAGACCACAATGTATTAGCCAAAAGACTACGGAGTCAAATACAATTTTTTAAATTGTGGCTTAAAAAAATAGCATAAGGCCAGGCATGGTGGCTCACGCCTGTAATCCCAACACTTTGGGAGGCTGAGGTGGGCAGATCACTTGAGGTGAGGAGTTTGAGGCCAGCCTGGACAATATGGTGAAACCCCATCTCTACTAAAAATACAAAAAAATTAGTTGAGCATGGTGGCACGTGCCTGTAATCACAGCTACTCGGGAGGCTGAGTCAGGAGAATTGCTTGAACCCGGGAGGCGGCGGTTGCAGGGAACTTAGATCGTGCTACCACACTCCAGCCTGGGTGTCAGAGCAAGACTGTTTAAAAAGAAAAAGAAAAAAAAAAGCAATAAAACCTAGCATCTTAATAATTTTTTAGTGTATAGTTCAGTAGTGTTAAGAGTATTTCCATTGTTGTGCAGATCTCCAGAACTTTTTCATTTTGCAAAACTGAACTTCTATACCCAATGAACAACTCTCCATTTTCCACTCCCTACCACCCCGTTAACCACCATTCTGTTTTCTGTTTCTATTAATTTGACTCCTTTAGATAACTAATATAAGTGGAATCATATGGTATTTGCCTTTGTATGACTAGCTTATTTGATTTAGTGTATTGCTGTCAAGATTCATCCATGTTGTAGCATGTGTCTGAATTTCCTTCCTTTTTAAAGGTTGAATAATATTCCATTTTATGTATGTGTGTGTGTGTGTGTGTGTGTATACACACACACACACACACACACACATATAGCACATTTTGTTTATTCATCCATTAGTGGACATTTGGATTGCTTCCACCTCTTTAAATGAATTTTTTCTTACTGCCATTTGGTGGGTACATGGAGAACTCACACCTAATTTAAAAACCCATCCCACTGGTTTTCCACTACACAGGATTCCCTACTAAGCTGGCTTGGAAAAAAAAAAAAACCATCATAAGCACTGTGCCTTTAATTCGATTGCTAGCTCTCTGTCAGTCTCCAACTCAGTAAAGGGTAAATGGCATCTCTGTTCATCTAATTGCTGTGGAAATATCTTTGACTCTTTTCTTTCTCTCCCACCCTGTAGCCAATCATCAGCATGCCAATCTTGTCAGTCCCTCCTTTGAAACATACCTAGGCTAGTCAACATATCCAGCATCTGACCACTTCTCATTACCTCTAGTATTTCTGATCTGATCCATACTACCATTATCTTTTCTTGGACCACTGTAAAAGCCTTCTAACTTTTTTCTGTTTATTTGCTTGGTCCCTGCTATCTGCTCATTCCAGACTATAGCTGTTGTGATCATGTTAAAACAGAAACCAAAACCTTTCAATGGCTTCTTATCTCACAGTAAAAACAAAAATCCTGACTATATCCTACAAGGCCGCACATGATCTTTGATTCCTCCTCCAACATCTATATCCATCTCTTATTCCATACTCTGTCACTTTCAACTTGCTTATTCTGTCTGATAATCCGGTCTCCTTGCTGCCATTCATCAAACATGTCAATACATACCTGCTTCGCTTAGCACTAACTGTTCTTCCTGCAGATATTTGTATGGTTAGATATCTTCAATTTTCTGCTCAGATGTCACATTATCTGAGAGGCCTTTCAGACTGAGTATCTAAGTGTGCACACAAACCACTCTCCCACTAGTCCTCTGTATTCTTTTACTCAGCTTTTTTGTTTGTTTTATAGCTTACTGTTCTTGACATAGGTTACTGGTTGTTTTTTTCTCCACTAAAATTTAAGCTCCTTGATGGCAGGGATTTTGTTACTACATTTCTAGTAACTAGAATAGTGTTTCACATGTAGAAGGTTCTCAGAAAATATTTACTGAATACATTAATGAAAGAGCTACAGATCTCAAAGTAACATGGGCCAGGCGCAGTGGCTCATGCCTGTAATCTCAGCACTTTGGGAGGCCGAGGCAGGTGGATCACAAGGTCAGGAGTTCAAGACCAGCCTGGCCAACATGGTGAAACCCTGTCTCTACTAAAAATACAAAAATTAGCTGGGCGTGGTGGGCGGGTGCCTGTAATCCCAGGTACTCGGGAGGCTGAGGCAGGAGAATCGCTTGAACCTGGGAGGCAGAGGTTGCAGTGAGCTGAGATGGTGCCTGCCTAGGCAACAGAGCAGGACTCCGTCTCAAAAAAAAAAAAAAAAAAAAAAAAGAAAAGAAACAAAGAAAGTAATATGGACATTACTTTTGAAGACTAGCCCGTGAGCTCTCTTTCCGTAAGATATCATCAACCTGCCTCCCTCCATCAGCTTCACTACAGCCATTATCATGTCTTTCTGTGGTTTCTTCAGTAAACTTGTAACTGGTTTCCCCATTTCTGTTCTTGGTCTCCCCTACAATCCATTCTCAAACCAGCAGCCTGCATTTTTAAAAAATTATGCTGGCCAAGTGTGGTGGCTCACACCTGTAATCCTCGGAGGCTGAGGCAGGAGAATCGCCTGAGCCCCAGAGTTTGAGACCGAGACGAGCATAAGCAACATAGGGAGATCCTGTCTCCATAAAAAAAATCAAAAAACTGGCTGGGTGTAGTGGCACATGACTGTGATCCCAGCTACTAGGAGGCTGAGGCGGGAAGATCACTTGAGCCTGGGAGGTTGAGGCTGTAGTAAGCCCTGATTGCACCACTGCACTCCAGCTTGATGTCAGCGCAAGACCCTGTTTCAAAAAAAAAAATGCTAACCTTTCAGTCGTTTTACGTCATTTTCAGAGTAAAATTCACACTCCTTATTATAGTGTGCTACACTACAAGATGTAGTGCCTACCTAATTTACCCTCTTTAAAAAAAAAACACTTTGTTACTCACTATGCTTTAGCTACATTAATATTTCCTAAATATACCAAGCTGATTCCCATCTTAGGGTCTTCTCACAGCTGTTCCTCTGTCCTAATCAGTCTTTTCAGGATCCTCATATGTCTGGCTCCTTTTCATGCAAGTCTCACCTTAAGGGTTACCTCCTCAGAAAGGTCCTGACAGTCCACCCAATAAAAAATAGCCTCTCTAATCACCCTTCTTTATTTTCTTTATAACACCATAAGCTGAAATTATCTTATTAATTATCTTTTCTATTTTTATTTTTATTTTTTTCGAGACAGAGTTTCGCTCTTGTCACCCAGGTTGGAGTGCAATGGTGCAGTCTCCGGTCACTGCAACCTCTGCCTCCTAGGTTCAAGTGATTCTCTAGCCTCAGCCTCCCAAGCAGCTGGGATTACAGGTGCCTGCCACCATGCCTGGCTGATTTTTGTATTTTTAGTTGAGATGGGGTTTCACCATGTTGGCCAGGCTGGTCTTGAACTCCTGACCTCAGGTGATCCACCTGCCTTGGCCTCCCAAAGTGCTGGGATTACAGGCGTGAGCCACAGTGCCCGGCTATTAATTTTCTTTTCTTATTGATGTTCCCATATCTGCATGACAAAAGGAACTTTTTCTTATTTACCTTCTATCCCTAGCACATGGAAAAATGACTGGGACTTATTAGTCGCTCAGATATTTAAACACAGGAATGGTTGAACGAATGAAGTTTTATAGTAGCCATCTGAGGCACTTGGTAAAACTACAGAATCTCAGCCTCCTCCCATAAAATTGAGTCATTAGGGTTAGTTATGTGACCCAGAAATTTGTAGTTTAACAAATACCCCATGACTGTTGTAACCAGGCAAATTTTGAAAATACTGACTTAATGGAAATAGTGCTGAGTGAATGAATGAGTGAGTGAGTGAGTGAGTGATCATAGCTCATTGCAACCTTGAACTTCTGGGCTCTAGTATCCTCTCACTTCAGCCTCCTGAGTAGCTGAGATGACAGGCACACACCACCACACCCAGCTAATTTTATTTCTTTTTTAAGAGATGGGGTCTTGCTATGTTGCCCAGGCTGGCCTCAAGCTCCTGGCCTCAGGTAGTCCTCCAGCTTCAGCCTCCTGAGTAGCTAGAATTACAGACTTGAAGCACTGTGCCCAGCCAGGGAGTTATCTTTTAACCTTAGTATATTGATAGGAATTAGTTCAACGTTTCCCAAAGTGTATATCATAGGACACTAATTATACAAGGTATTTGATACAAAATGAATGATCTTTTCCTATGTGTTTAGGAATGCTGAATATTATATTCTTCTTTTGGAGATTAGCTAGGCAGTCATTAGCATTTTGAAGGGTATGAGAAATTACACTTTAGAGCAATCTACTTATCTATTAAATAGATTTGACAAGTCTACTTACAATCCCTGCCCCAAACCGTTTCTTACCAAATCCCTATTAATATACTAAGGAATGTGTACTTATGCCCTAAGGACTATACACTGTACATGAAGTAGAGTATGTGGTTCCTTGCTACTATCGCAGCTTATTCTGTTCATGGTTAACTGTCTACACAAGCCACTATGTAGCAGATGGTGTGGACTAAAGTACACATTTTAGCTTAATGATCTTTAGCTATTTTTTTTTGGCATATGTAGGCTCTATATATCTTTTTTAAACTATATTTTTATTACATTAAAAATTAAAATAAGGATTTTTGTCCTTTATGAGGTAGTGTAGAAACATAAAGAATTAACTTTTTGTATGCACTGGTTTACATTGCCATCTTATTGCTTAATTACTTTGCCTAAAATTGCCTACTATTTTTTACTTATTTATTTATTTATTTTTGAGACAGAATCTTGCTCTGTCACCAGGCTGGAGTGCAGTGGCGCCATCTTGGCTCACTGCAACCTCCGCCTCCTGAATTCAAGCTATTCTCCTGCCTCATCCTCCCAAGTAGCTGGGACTACAGGCATGCGCCACCATGCCCAGCTAATTTTTTGTATTTTAGTAGAGATGGGGTTTCACCATGTTGGCCAGGATGGTCTCAATCTCCTGACCTCGTGATCCACTCGCCTCGGCCTCCCAAGGCGCCAGGATTACAGGCGTGAGCCACTGCACCCGGCTTACTCATTTATTTAAACCTCATTAATCTCATGTTAGTTTTTCTAGGTCTATCTAGTTCATTGCTATAAATTTAGAATATATTATGTAAAGAGGATGGGCTTTTCAGATTTTGACTTAGTTCAACTTGTTTTCCCACCAAGATGAGATCCTACCCATATAGACAGGCAGAATCTAATAAATGTGAATGTTAGAGTAATTGTCTTTGGTTCCATCTTTTTTTCAATACCTATTAAAGTATAGTGATCAGATCAATGTAATTAGTATATCCATTGTCTCAATCATTTATCATTACTTTGTATTAGAAACATTCAATATCCTCCTCCTAGCTATTTGAGTCTAATATATTATTGTTAACCGTAGTCATCCTTCAATAGTGTAGAATACTAGACTTACTCTTTTTTTATCTAGCTATACTTTTGTATCCTTTAACAAATCTCTTCCTATCCCCCTGCCCTCCGCCCATACCCATGCCCTTCTCACCCTCAAGTATCGTCTGTTCTAATTTTTACATCTATGAGATCAACTTTTTTTTTCTGACTCTCACATATGAATGAGAACATGTGGTGTTTAGCTTTCTGTTCCTGGCTTATTTCACTTAACATAATGTCCTTCAGTTCCATCTACGTTGCTATGAATGATAGGATTTTATTCTTTTTAAGAGCTGAATAGTATTCCATTGTATATACATACCACACTTTCTTTATCCATTCATCTGTTTTTGGACACCCAGGTTGAGTCCATATCTTGGCTACTGTGAATAGTGCTGCAATAAACATGCAGTGCAGGTGTCTCTTTGATATACTAATTTTACTAATTTCCTTTGCTTTGTATAAATGCTCAGTGGTGGGATTGCTGGATCATATGGTAGTTCTAGTTGTACTTTTCTTGAGTACTCTCCATACTCTTCTCCTTAGTGGCTATACTAGTTTACATCCCCAAATTCAGTTCCATCTTTAACTATCTTAGTTTAATTCTGAGTTGGAATCGTTTCTTTTGATGATGATGACGCTTTGGTTTTTTTAAAAACTGGGAGTTAAGAAAGTTAGAAATGCCTTACGTGTTAAGACTAGTCATTTCAGTTGTTTGTTTTCCTGAAACAACTTTTGTGATATGTCTAGATAATACAGCCAGTAGCATAACAGTCTTAATTCTGATGTATATGCGCTTGGTCATGCCTACTTCTTTATCTAAAGAATTGGGCAACAATTTCTGCTGTTGGTGTGTTATTTAATTATATTACTGATTCTAGATTTAATAAAGACTAAAACCTTCTAGCCCTGTGTTTTAGCTACAAGATACCAGCTAGCCTTTATTTGCTTCAAATTGTCTGCCAATGATGGTAAACAAAGTGATTCTCAAAGGAAATTTTGTTCAAAATAGTCTCAAAGACTATTGCTATTGGCAAACTAAGGAAAATAATAAAGCTCTTCAGAAAAACTTGACAGAGGCAGTTTTGCAAGTGAGTACCACCCACAATCATTTCACTCTGTCTCCATTCTCCCAGGTGCATGGCAGGAAACTAAAATCTTCATTCTTACTATTTACCCAAGATAAGTTAAATATATTGAGCAAGTGCTTATTTGTAAAACTACCATATCATTAGTGTTACAAGGAAATATTTTCAGTTCATCTTTCTGATTACATCTATCTGTTTTTAATAGGTATATAGTTTGTTTCTATTTTTTATTTGATCTATCATTTTGACTTATAGAGTATCTCTGGCTTTTGATTATAACCTGATTGTATTTTGTCCTAAGAGTAGCTTTATTTATGAAGACCATCATGGGGTAAAACTAGTGACATTATTGGCACATAGTTCCTATTAGAGAGAATAATCTGGTTTAAAATAAATGTCATTTTGAGTAATCTTTAGGACAACTCCCAGTCTTAGGCAAACTTGGGTGTGCCCTCACCAATGACATAGTCAGGAAAAGTGGTAAATGGGGGAGTTTAGACACAGAACAATTGAAGGGTGCTCAGACATATCTCAGCAGTGTTAGCATGATGACTGCACAATTTGGATTGCAAACCCAGAAACGCCCTTCAAGTTAAATCCACTGAACAATTGTAATTTTTACAGGCAAAACTAGTTTCATTCTAGTGGGTTCACGGGCCTATATACTCCCAGATTGACCTTTATTTTAGTTCTTTGTTTTTTTTGTTTTGTTTTGTTTTGTTTTTTGTTTGTTTTTTTGAGACGGAGTCTTGCTCTGTCGCCCAGGCTGGAGTGCAGTGGCCTGATCTCCACTAACTGCAACCTCCGCCTCCCAGGTTCAAGCAATTCTCTGCCTCAGCCTCCTGAGTATCTGGGATTACAGGGGCGCATCACCATGCCCAGCTAATTTTTGTATTTTTAGTAGAGATGGGGTTTCACCACGTTAGCCAGGCTGGTCCTGAACGCCTGACCTCATGATCCACCCGCCTCAGCTTCCCAAAGTGCTGGGATTACAGGTGTGAGCCACCGCTCCTAGCCTTGTTTTAGCTTTTATATATATTAATAAAAGATTTGCAGGTTCTTGGAGGTTAGTCTTCAGATTACTAAATAAGTATCAAGGATTGCCCATAATTTTTCAATTATAATAAATGAAAAATAAAAATCTAAGTTGAACTTGTAGGGAACTACACAAAAGACTTGTTTCTGGCTGGACTCAGTGGCCCATGCCTGTAATCCCAGCACTTTGGGAGGCTGAGGCAGGTGGATCATGAGGTCAGGAGTTCAAGACCAGTCTGGCCAACATGGTGAAACCCCAACTGTACTAAAAATACAAAAATTAGCTGGGCGTGGTGGTGGGCACCTATAATCCCAGCTGCTCTGGAGGATGAGGCAGAAAATTGCTTGAACCTGGAAGGTGGAGGTTGCAGTGAGCCGAGATCGCGCTACTGCACTCCAGCCTGGGCGACAGAGCAAGACTCCATCTCAAAAAAAATAAAAGGACTTGTTTCTACTCATCTGAAGTATAGGAGGGTGTTCAAAGGAAGACTCCTGGCTTGTCTAGAGAGTATACATACGTCATGTATGCACAGCTTAGAAGGCAAGAAAGTATATTACACAATAGAGGAGTTAATTTTTTTCTTTTTTTTTGAGATGGAGTTTCACTCTTTTTGCCCAGGCTGGAGTCAGTGGTGTGGTCTTGGCTCACTGCAACCTCCACCTCCTGGGTTCAAGCCATCCTCCTGTCTCAGCCTCCAGAGTAGCTGAGATTACAGGTGCACGCCACCACGCCCAGCTGATTTTTTTATTTTTAGTGGAGATGGCATTTCTCTATGTTGGTCAGGCTGGTCTCGAACTCCTGACCTCAGGTGATCCACCCGCCTCGGCCTCCCAAAGTGCTGCAATTACAGGCGTGAGCCGCTGCGCCCAGCCGAGCTAATTCTTTTTAAAGGAAAAGTCATTTATATTTTCCTCTCTAAAACCATACCTAGTCTGTCAGAGTTATCTGAGATGTTTTCCTATTTCTCTTCATAGGTTGTATTCCCTGGCAATTTCGAATAACTTGTTTTAGCCTATCATACCTTGTTTTAGAACAAGAAAGTTAGAATTACAGAATATTGGGAAGCAAGAACATAAGTTCTCAAAGCATCAAGACTATAACCTTTTTCTTTGGGCAGTAGTATGATGTGTCTTTAGCCACTGATTAACCCAGGCATTAGTTTTTTAGAACTATAAACATTAAAATATGAGGTTCTCAACTTTTCTGTTCCTGCACACCTGAGAGATACAAGGTATTCATATTAGTGACTATGGCTGGGAATCAGAATCTTGAAGGAGAGGTGTTGGTATGATTTAAAGAGAAAAATAAATGATGTGATAACACTTCCTCAGCTTTTCCTCTAGAGTCACTGGAGTAGGTTTAGATGATGACCAAGGTTCTTCTAGTTCTAAAATTCTGTTATGCTTTCTCTACTCTTCTTTTCATGCCAGCTACATGCTTGTTTCTCCATAATGATAGGGCCCAATTTTCCCTAAGAGAGAGAGTGACTACAGAACTGTTATTCCTATTTTGTCTTATGTGCAAGAACATTCCTACTTTGTCTTATGTGCAAGAATATATATATATAGTGGGGGGTTGGGGGAGAGATGAGGTCTCACTGTCACCCCGGCTGGAGTGCAGTGGCATCATCATAGCTCACTGGGGCCTCTAACTCTTGGGTTCAAGGGAACCTCTTGCCTTAGCCTCCTGAGTAGCTGGGACTACAGGTGCACACGCCACTATGCCTACCTAATTTTTAAAATGTTTCATAGAGATGCGGTCTCACTATGTTGCTCAGGCTGGTTTCAAACTCCTGGCCTCGTGATCCTCCCGCCTCAGCTCACCAAAATACTGGGATAACAGGCAGGAGCCACTGCACCCAGCCCCAGTATCCTTTATTTAGATGGGAAGTAAGATAAGTTTAAAGTAAAAACTGGGAATTCACTTGCTGGTATGTTTGGGGAAAATATTCTAGAATAGGAACATTTCAAATTTTCCTTTTTCAAAGCAAATTAAGGAAAAAAATCCCCTGAAAATAAATTGTTAAATGTTCAAATAGCATTTAAAACTTCTGTGGTAGAAATCAGATTTCTACCTGACTTCCTTAATTAAAATATATAGTGTATACTCCAATATACATCAGAAACTGGAATTTGTTAAGTATTCTGATTGTTTCTTTCTGTCTGGGATGCTTAAAGTGTTAATTAAATGATATGTAAAACATATGTGGACTATGGATTTTGTCTAAAACAATAATGTGATATAAAAATGTCTCAGATTTATTGTTAGACAAAATCAAAGGTACTTTTATGTAATCTGTTGCATACATCATAGCTGTAGAAAATCCTTAACTTCAGTTAGAGGTTAGTGAAAATAAAGATGTGACTTTTTTTCCCATTGTTCACATAAACCCTGGTCTAAAATTATTTTTATTACCCCAGGCACATTCAAGGAAGCCAGAATCATCAGCGTCTCAAGAGATTTAGTCTTTGAGGAAAGTGGAGCTTAGTCTTTTCTGTTTTTAGCTCTTAGTGCTTTTCAAACCTTTAAAATAAGTAAGTGGTTGACTGTTAAATGATGATTGTCAATATCTCTTGCATTAGGAACTTGGCTTATTGCCACGAATTTTATTTCAGATTACTAAAGAAATTGATATTTATGAAAGCCAATGTAGTCAGTGTATCTTAAAGTCAAACTACTAGAATATATCTGCTAATAGTAATAAGTGCTTTATTTATGTCTTGACTTTGAGCTGCTATAGCCATAAGTATTTTTTGTCATTAAAATGTTCCTTCGTCATTAAAAATATAATTCATATCACAATCCTGAATCATCCTTCTACTTTATGAAACGACTGCTTGGTCAAATTTGTGTGATTATTATTTTTTTAATTTACTTTTTATTGTGGCAAAATATATACAATACAGAAGTTACCATTTTAACCATGTTTAAGTGTACAACTCAGTGGCATTAATTACATTTACAGTGTTGTACACCCATTACCACTATCTGTTTCCAGAATTTCTCATCACCCCAAACAGAAACGCTGTACTCTTTAAGCAATAACATTCCATACCCTACTCCACCCAGCCCCTGGTAACCTCTAATCTGCTTTCCATCTCCATAAATTTGCCCTTTCTCAACATTTTATATAAATTGAGTCATATAATATTTATCTTTTTGTGTCTGGTTTGTTTTCCTTAGCATAATGTTTTCAAGGTTCATCCATGTTGTCACATGTATCAGAATTCCATTCATTTTTATAGCTGAATAATTTTCCATTGTATGTGTATATTACATTTTGTTGATTCCTTCATCTGTAGAAGTATACCTGGTAACCTTTTGGCTATTGTGAATTATTTTGTCATAAACTTTGTGGTAAAGTATCTGTTTGAGTCCCTGTTTTCAATTATTTTGGAAGTATAATTAGGAGTAGAATTGCTGATGGTGATTATGTTTAACTTTTTGAGCTATGTGATCATTCTTTACACTAGTTCATTCTATTTTTTATTATCTTCACATTAATATTTCATAAGTTTTTAAATTTTTTTGCTTATTTCCTTGGTTGACTTTTGTTGCTGATTTTAAAGAAATTATTTGTTTTGATCATTCATTTTTTTCTTTTCTTTTCAATTGTTTGTTTTTCAGACCTGAGTCAGAACTCCATCACAGGGGAACACAGCCAACTGTTAGGTATAGTATTACTGTGGGGATTGACTTTATCCAAAGTCACCCTTAACTCATTTATCCTAACAGACATTACTCCCTTCTCTGATTCTATTTTCTATCCCCTCCTTTTCTACTTCCCACCCAACAACTTTTTTCCTGCTGTTTCTATTCCCAACTTGCCAAGTTTTAGGAAACTACTTCTATAATTGATTACTAAGACTCAGTTAAATTAAAAAGTAATTTTGCATGGTTTATGGTTAAAAAAAATCTAAGAACTAGAATTTTTTAAAGATAATTTGGAAAAGAAGATATTATAATAGCTTTGTAATATCTGACTTTGCAGCTAATTTTCCCTTTTTATTACTTTTCTTGGCCTTTTGATCCCCTTTTTAATTATTGAAAGTACTTCATAAACAGTATGTCCTTAAGCAGTCCTTAGAATTTGGTGTTCCAGTTCCTTATCTATGAAACAAATTATGGAAATGAATTTACTTCCTCTGGGTACCACTTCTTTAAAGTAAGTGCATAATTTGACAAGAATTTCTCTTTTTTTTTTTGAGACAGTGTCTCGCTCTGTCACCAGGCTGGAGTGCAGTGGTGCGATCTCCACTCACTGCAAGCTCCGCCTCCCAGGTTCATGCCATTCTCCTGCCTCAGCCTCCCAAGTAGCTGGGACTACAGGCGCCCGCCACCACACCCAGCTAATTTTTGTATTTTTAGTACAGACAGGGTTTCACCATGTCGGCCAGGATGGTCTCCATCTCCTGACCTCGTGATCCGCCCACCTCTGCCTCCCAAAATGCTGGGATTACAGGTGTGAGCCACTGCACCCGGCCTTGACAGGAATTTCACAAGACCTCAGGACTGATAAATTTTCAAAGTGTAAAAAGAAACATACCCTGATGAGGCATTCAGCTCAAACAAAAGGCATATATAAAGAAAGTAAAAGTATCTCTTCTTCTTACCACCTCATTTCCACCTCTTAAAAGTACTTGCTGTTGACAGTTTCTTGGGAATTCTTCTAGAAATTTTTAATTATAAATTTTTGTATTATATATGACTATCTTTTCCTTTTTATATCAATGGTGTTATAGTAAATGGACTGTTCTATTATACAGACTGCTTCTTTTTACTTAACATTTTACCTTGGACATCTTAGTACATAAAGTTCTGCTTCATTCCTTTGTTTGTGATGGAAGAGTATTTCATTGTGCTCCTGCACTATAATTTTATTCAGCCAGTTTCCTACTCATGAGCATGTATTTCCAAGTGTGTTACTGTTGTAAGTTGTGTTGCAATGAATATCTTATACTTATATCCAGTATATAAGATAGATATATCAGTCTTAATGCCAGTATATTTGTAGGGTAAATTCCTAACAGTGGAATTCCTTACTCAAAAGATATGTACATGTTTAAAAAGATACATCAGCTTAAACTCTCACCAGTATGGAGTAATGCTTGACTCTCTATAATAAAAAAAAAAACAGGTATTATTAATCTTAAAATAGTTTCTTTACCTAATAGGTGAAAATGGCATCTCTAGTTTTTTATTTATACTTCCTTCAGTGTAAGTGAGGTTAAGTAATTTTTAGTATATTATTTGGTATTTAACACTTGTGTGTCTATGTATGCTTTGATTTGAGGCTTATTTTGATCCCTGCTGAGCTTTTAGCTGTTTAAATATGTGTAAAGCAGCTATGGAAAAATAAGCTATCAAAAAGTCCAAAGTAGGGAAAGTAAAAACTTCAGAGGATTAGTTGAAGAAACTGGGATACTCCTTTTTCGTTCTTTCTATATTAAAGACTTAGGATAGTCCTTGGGTTAATGAGAAGAGTTTATGAGACCATAGCCCTCATTCCTTTAGTGAGTTTATATGCTGAAACAGTACCTGACATCCTAGGCACTCAGTATATATTTGTTAAGTAAATGGTTTGACATAAATATACAAATCTGATCACCAAGGTCCTGACCGTGTGATGTTAGAGGTTTTTTGTTTTTTTGGTTTTTGGTTTTTTTGAGATGGAGTCTTGATCTGTCACCCAGGCTGGAGTGCGGTGGCACGATCTTGGCTCACTGCAACCTCCACCTCTCAGATTCAAGCAGTTCTCTGGCCTCAGCCTCCTGAGTAGCTGGGACTACAGGTGCACGCCACAGCGCCTGGCTCATTTTTGTATTTTTAGTAGAGTCAAGGTTTCGCCCTATTGGTCAGGCTGGTCTCGAACTACTGACCTCAGGTGACCCACCCACTGTGGCCTCTCAAAGTGCTGGGATTACAGGCATGAGCCACCACTCCCGGCCACTTTTTTATACTTTTATATTGGATAGTTTCTATACATTGCTCAAAATTAGTCTTCTGTATATAAAAATTTTATATTTGGATCAGGAACGATTAAACTTTCATTGAAAAATTTTGCCAGACCATGAAAAGAACATCTTTCCTCTAAACTATGAAAGTGTTTCTGTCCCTGATACATACATGACAGGCAGAGATGTTTGAGAATAGTTCATTATCAGGAACACATGTACAATGGAGGCAGCTTAGCTAGTGAAATGGACAGTCAAAAGTTGATACAGTTCTAGTATTACTAAGCTGGATTTTGTTCCCAGCTAATCACCTGCAGTAAAGGATACCTGGGGAACTGTAGGCAAAAATAAGTAACTTTGATTATGAAGGAAGAGTTATCTTAGTCATTATTAGCCAAAAAATTCTAATAGTATTTGCAAAGAGACTGCTTCAAACATTAATCTCATTTGGCAGCCTACAGTTGCATTCAATTTTTAGCCAACCTGAGGATTCATCCAGTCTTCTGGCCAGATTATCAGGTATGTCCATCCTGCCAGCCTGAGTTCTCTCTCCTAGATTCATGGAGTCAGATCATATTTTCCTTTTTTCTCATGCTCTGAAGAACTATCCTCTTCTGTCTTCTGTCTTAAGTATCTTTGTTTTAGCTGTAGCCTCAAAACCTTTAAAAGTCTGGTTTAATTAAAAGAAATTCATGAGTTTGCAAAAGACTGAAAGATTTTTTTTGTTGTATTTTCTAACCATCTGATAAGTTACTCAGAAAAGGCATTATAAGGTTGAATGAAAATCTTCCAACCAGGCGCCGTGGTTCACCACGCCTGTAATCCCAGCACTTTGGGAGGCCAAAGCAAGTGGATCGCAAGGTCAGGAGTTCGAGACCAGCCTAGCCAAGATGGTGAAACCCCATGTCTACTTAAAAAAAATTGGCCGGGCATGGTGGCGGGTGCCTGTAGTCCCAGCTACTTGGGAGGCTGAGGCAGGAGAATCGCTTGAACCAGGAGGTGGAGGTTGCAGTGAGCCAAGATCGCACCACTGCATTCTAGCCTGGGCGGCAGAGTGAGACTCTGTCTCAAAAAAAACAAAAACAAAAAAAGAAAAAGAAAAAAAAAGAAAATCTTCCCAGCTCTCCCTAAAAACCTTGTTTAGGATAATTTGGCCTGGTAGGTGAAAAACTGGTTCAATTGCCTTGCCTGCTTAATTGAATTTGTAATAACATCTTTCAGACCTTTGCTGTTGAATTGGATATATAAAAGCCCTTTCCAGTCCTTCTAAATGTTTTTACTGTCAACAGGGCACAGTTATTTTAATGTATCTACTGTTCCCACTGACTCATCGGGTCTCTTGCAAAACTCAGGGTCAGGCTGAGGAGATATACGGGAGGGTGAAACTGCTGTTGTAATAATCAAGCTGTACACCTGTGATTTATGAACTTTTCTGTGTGTGTGTGTGTGTGTGTGTGTGTGTAGCTTTGCACTTAAAAAAATTTTTAGAAAGCTAGCAAGCAAACAAGCCATGGGTCCTGGCATTATTAAAAGTTTTATCAGGCATCCAAGGAAAAATAATTCGAGTCTTCTGCAGTCAGTCTCTCATAAGGAATAGAAAACCAAGTAACTACTACCTCAGTTTTGAGGCTTTTGCAACCTTGATAACCAAAACTTAAGAATGGCAACATGAGATTAAAAAAAAAAAAAAGTATAGGCCAACCTTACTTAGGAACATATCTACAATCCTGAACGAAATATTTGCAATCTGAATCGGGCAACATATTTTTTTAAATTATCCCCTCATCAAGTTGAGTTTCTGCTAGAAATCCATGGTTGGTTTAATATTGAAAGTTAATTTATATAATTCACTATGTTAACAAATTAAAAGAAAAATATTGTATAATAATCTTAATAGAGGTTGAAAAAGCATTTGATTTGAAACATACCTGATATGGTTTGGCTGTGTCTCCCCCCACTCATCTTGACTTGTAATTCCCATAATCCTCACGTTTTGTGGGAGGTAACAATCATGGGGGCGGTTTCCTCTATGTTCTTATGATTGTGAGTGAGTCTCATGAGATCTGATGGTTTTATAAGCATCACGCATTTCCCCTCCTTGCACTCATTCTCTCTCCTGCTGCCCTGTGAAGAGGGGCCTTCCACCATGATTATAAGTTTCCTGAGGCTTCCCTAGCCATGCTGAACTTGGAGTCAATTAAACCTCTTTTCTCTCTCTCTTTTTTTTTTTTTTGTTTTTTGTTTTGTTTTGTTTTGTTTTTTGAGATGGAATCTTGCTCTGTCACCCAGGCTGGAGTACAGTGGCATGATCTCGGCTTACTGCAACCTCCATCTCCCAGGTTCAAGTGATTCTCCTTCCTCAGCCTCCCAAGTGGCTGGGATTACAGGGACCCACCATCACACCTGGCTAATTTTTGTATTTTCAGTGGAGACGGGGTTTCACCATGTTGTCCAGTCTAGTCTCAAACTCCAAGCCTCAAGTGATCCGCCTGTCTCGTCCTCCCAAAGTGCTGGGATTAGAGGTGTGAGCCATTGTGCTCAGCCAAACCTCTTTTCTTTATAAATTACCCAGTCTTGGGTATTTCTTCATAGCAGCATGAGGAAGGGCTAATACAGTAAAAACCCAGTATTTAAGTTTATGAGTTCATAATGATAATTTAAAAAATGAGCCAGGCACAATGGCACACGCCTGTAGTCCCAGCACTTTAGGAGGCTGAGGAGGGAGGTAGGAGGATTACTTGAGGCCAGGGGTTCAAGATCAGACTGGGCAACATTGCAAGAACCCATCTCTACAAAAAAGCAAAAAATAATTAGCCTGGCATGGTGGCACACACCTGTAGTCCTAGCTACTCTGGAGGCTACAGTAAGCTGTGATGGTGCCACTGTACTCCGCGACAGAGTGATACCCTGTCTCTAAAACAAAACAAAACCCACAACTAACTGGTCACCATTGGAGTATTTAGTGAACCAATTATTCTGAGAACTGGTCAGTAAAGGGAAAGAATTATTCGTCCTGTTTTTAACTGAACCACTTGGTAATCAAATAGTAGATTAAAGGAAATGTCTCTTTTTATAGAGGTATTCTAGCTAATAAATGAAGGAACAATAATAGAATGAGAATATTACCATTTGGTGACCTCTCATAAATTAATGGAGCTAGGCATTACTCATCAACAATTGCTAATATCTCAAAAGGAAAGACAACCAGATGACAATGACATGTACCTCCTGGCAGTTCATAATACCACTGTGAAGTAGTTTTCCTCCCTACCCTCCTAGAAGTACTGAATGTGATTAAGCTTTTAGATTCAACTACCAATTTATAGGAATTACAAAAAAAAAAAGAGCATGTTAAACAGCATCACATGGATGCCATGATCAAAACCCAGACCATCAGAAACTCTCCAGGACAAATGACATGGTTTCCTTAACACATCAATGGCAAAACAAAGTATAAAATCAAAAACATGTAGCATTTGGGATAACCTTTCAGATTCACATAGTCACATAGTACAAACCCAAACCTGTGCCAAGGGAAATTAGGTACACCTACTGCTCTCTTGCCTAACTCAGACTAGCAAAGGCCATTTGACAAGATCAGGAAGCTAAAGGAGTAACTTGAGATTTATCTAGGGCCCAAATTATAGTATAAGTGGTAATTGACAAATGCAACATTATAGAAGTAATAACATCACAACAGTAAAGTGTTTATATAAAGAGTAAGACCTTTGGTATACCTTTTTTCTGTTTACAAAAAAAAAATATGCCATGAAAAACAGAAATCTGAAATATTTAGTAGAATTATCCTATCAGTTTTCATTTGAATTATGCAGTGAAACACCAGTAAGTTTCCCAAAAATGTCAGCATTATTTAGATAGTAAAATGAGAAAAAAGAAACATAATAGTGTCTGGGCGCAGTGGCTCACACCTGTAATCCCAGCAGTTTGGGAGGCTGAGGTGGGTGGATCACCTGAGGTCAGGAGTTCAAGACCAGCCTGGCCAACATGGCAAAACCCCATGTCTACTAAAAATACAAAAAATTAGCCAGGCATGGTGGCAGGCGCCTATAATTCCAGCTACTCGGGAGGCTGAGGTAGGAGAATTGCTTGAACCCTGGAGGCGGAGGTCGCAGTCTGCTGAGATTGTGCCACTGCACTGCAGACTGGGCAACAGAGCAAGACTCCGTCTCAAAAAAAAAAAGAAAGAAAGAAAAAAAGAAACATAATAGTAATCTGACAGGTGATGTAATGCAAACCATTACTGAGGCCAGTCTCAGTGGGGATCCTTCAAAGGAGTCATTTTAGGATTCTGAATAATCCTAAAAGAGCCCTGGAATATGGATTTGGTTCTTAGTTCCTGCAGAGTAAAGATTATTTGCTACTCAGAAACTAGAAGTTCCATTCCATCTGGTATTTCTTGGGGTCACAACAGTGACCTAAACTTTTGAAGGCTGAACTCTAAAGCAGCATGGTTTCCCACCAAGATATTCAAGCCAAAAATTAATCCTTGCCTTTCAATATAATCACTTCTAATTTCATGCCTTTTGGTATAACCACACTTGATGAATGCTTCATTTCTTGCCTTGGAAAGCCTTGACCTTTCATGACTGTCCACAAGCCATGATTGACCAGGAACTCTTTGGGAGCCTCCCATTGCACAACACTACCACAAGTAGACCATGAGTAGGACATTATTGGTTGGAGGCATCATTGGTCTCATAAAATGTAGACAAAAATCTCCAGGGATATTCTTCTACCTTTCTAAAAAAAGTAAGCAAGCAAATGGAAGGTGGGCCAGAAACAGCCAGGATCCAGACTGTCTGATGATAATAAGACAAGGCAAGCCAGAGCTGCTAGGAGGTGGCTTGGACAGCAGGTAGCAGAATGGGACAGGATTGTCTCATGCCAGATTTTTGTAACAGCATCATTGTAAGGTTATTGAATAGCAGAGAGGTAGTATGTTGAACTCTTACTTCCATAACCCTCAAGAGAAATGACATGGTCCTGAGTCTGGGATACAAAATTCTATTAAATGTTTAAATCAGTAGAGGATGCAGTTAGGAAGATGAGCAAACTCCTCAGGAATAAAAGACTGTTTAAAGAGAAGGAAAATAAATGGAAATTCTAGAAAAGAAAAAATATATATAGATATAAAAAAGAAATTAAACAGTAGCTTAGTAGTAGGTAAATAGCGTAAACAAAAAGAACTACACCTAGATACATCTTAATGAAACTGCAGAAAATCTAAGAAAAGATCTTGAAAGCAGCCAGAGAGAAAGGACAGTTCATCAAAGGAACAACAGAATGACAGAAGAATTCTCAGTACCAAAACACAAAGTTACAAGCCAGAAAACACAAATAAGTGTACACAAAAATTTTGTAGAGACAAGGTCTCACAATGTTGCTCATGCTAGTCTCAAACTCCTGCCCTCAAGCAGTCCTCCTGCCATGGCCTCCCAAAGAGCTGGGATTACAGGAGAGGGCTGCTGCGCCCAGCCTGGAGACATCTCTGACAGTCACTACTGGAGGTGCTACTGGCATCTAATGAGTAGAGGCCAGGGATGCTCTTAAATATTCTACAGTGCACAGGACAGTCCCTCACAGTAATTATTTGCTCCAAAATTCCATAGTGCTGAGTTTGAGAAACCTAAAGGAATTCTAAGGAATATACCTCAAGAAAGAATAAAATGATCCTAGAAGACTAGTAGTCTGAAATGTAAGAAAGAGTAGTGAATAAATGAACTAGTAAACTTGTACATCGACTCAAATCAGTGTTGTCTCAATAAAACAACTCTAATATCTTATTTATGGAGTTTTTTTTTTTTTTAAAAAGAGACTACTGGGAACGTTGGACACCAATATTAGGTAAGTCAGGAGGAGAAAATTGGAATTGAAGTATTAGAAAGTCTTCGTGTTGTTCAGGAGGATGTCAAGCAATTGTTTAAACTTATTTAACAATTTAAGATATATAGTAAAATTTCAAGGGTAATTGCTGAAAGAACAGAAATAGAGAATGGAAACTAGAGGGGAAAATGTCATTAAGGAAAAACAAACCAGAAAATCCAAAGAGTGGGAGAGATAGAGGATGAGAATGAGTCATAGAGAAAAAACAAATAAAAAGATGTTAGAACCCTGTCTAAATATATTAATCACTAAGGTTGATGGACTAAACTTGGCAGTTGAAAAGACAGATTGTCAGACTTTTAAAAATCCAACCCAAACAAATAGATGATAAACTGTGTTGTTTAAAATGCCAATAAATTTGGAGGTAATTTGTTGAGCAAAATAATAATAATAACTAAACAATAGATGTATGTCTAAAATTGTTGTGCCAGCCAGGCCCGGTGGCTCACACCTGTAATCCCAGCACTTTGGGAGGTTGAGGCAGGCTGATGGCTTGAGTCTAGGAATACGAGGCAACATAGCAAAACCTCATCTCTACAAAAAATCCAAAAATTAGCTCTTCATGGTGGCATAAGCCTGTAGTCCTAGCTACTTGGGAGGCTGAGGTGGGAGGATCTCTTGGGCCCAGGAGGCTGAGGCTGCAGTGAGCTGTGATCGCACCACTGTACTCCAGCCTGGGCGTAAGAGTGAGACCCTGTCTCAAAAAATAATAATAATGATAAATAAAATTGGCATGACTTCTTGGTGGATTAAACCTTTTGTTATTATGTGGTATAAACAAAACTGTCATGCCTTCTTGGTGGATTAAACCTTTTGTTATTATGTGGTTACCTTCTAATACCTAATAAAATGTTTCTCATAAATTTATCTGATACTAATAAAATTATATCAGCTTTCTTTTGGTTAGTATTTGCCTGATATATCTCTTTCCTTAATGTTTTCTTAATGTTCAGCTTTTGTATGTCCTTATATCTCTTATAAATAGTATATGTCTAGATTTTATTGTTTAATCCAGTCTGTCAATCTTTGTCTTAGTCTATTTACATTACTGGTTTTATTGATATGCTTGGACCATTGTGCCATCCTAAATTATTTGTCCCACTTTTTCTGCTTCTTTATAATCTCTTCTTAAAAAAAAAAAAAAAAAAAAAAAGCTTTCTGTATTACCCCTGCTTCCCAAATGAACTATTAGCACACTCTCACATTACTCTCTCCTTTGGAAAATCTATCCATTAACTAACTTACGTGGTCTGGCTCCTTTCTGTCTTTCTAAATATGCTCTCCTTTCCTCACTGTCCTTTAGCTATATTGTCCTTTCTGCTTTATGAATTCACTTGAATTGGTTCTGCTTTAGGATCTTTTAAAATTGCTGTGTTCCCTCTGCCTGAAATGTAGGCTTTTCCTTACTATCCTATGCCAGGAGTGTGCTGCAGCCAGCTTATACCAGCTCACAAGAGCCAGTTAATGCAAATCTCTTCCCAAAACCAGGTTCATTGTCTTCACATTAGTAGTTTGAAAATGGCCATGTGTGAGTATTTATACCACAGAAATTGTCAAGTACTGTAAGTCGGATTTGTTTTAATTCTTTAGAGGCTGTTATCAGCACACCAATGATCTTACATGAAGTCGTCATTCCCCTCCCTAGTCACAGTCTCTCCCAGTACCTATTTGATTTTCTTCCTTGAACTTACCACTTCTTGAAATTCTTTTTGGGTTTTTTTGTTTTTATTTTGTCTTTTTTGTTTGTTTTTTTTTTTTTAATTGCTGTTGTTGTTTTTACTTACTTTCTGTCTTCTGTAACTTCAGTATATGCACAGTAAAGGCAGGGTCTTTAACTGCCATGTCCACTGCTATATCTCTAGGACCCAGAACAGTATCCAGTACATCCTAGGAATTTAATAAATATTAGTTGAATAAATGAATTACTCAGAAGTGGTGATAATTTTAAGCTATACTCTTTTTTTTGAGACGGAGTCTCGCTCTGTCGCCCAGGCTGGAGTGCAGTGGCACGATCTCGGCTCACTGCAAGCTCCGCCTCCTGGGTTTATGCCATTCTCCTGCCTCAGCCTCCCAAGTAGCTGGGACTACAGGCGGCTGCCACCACGCCCGGCTAATTTTTTGTATTTTTTAGTAGAGACAGGGTTTCACCGTGTTAGCCAGGATGGTCTCAATCTCCTGACCTCGTGATTCGCCCGCCTCGGCCTCCTAAAGTGTTGGGATTACAGGCATGAGCCACTGCACCCAGCCTAAGCTATACTCTTTAGAATTTTCTGGAGCCATTAAGAAGAGGAAAAGAATTACATTTTTCTATTTATAACTTTTTGTTACTGAAAATATCAAAGGTACAGAAAAGTAGAATAGCATAATGAACTTTTATGAATGCATCACCCAGCTTCATCAATGTTACAAATCTGTTTTGAAGACCCTACCTAATTTTTCCCTAAACTGTTTTAAAGAAAATTCCAGACATCATATGATTTTACTTGCCCTTTTTAAAAAAAAGAGTGATATATTTTCTCTTATTTTTTGTTTCAAAAATGCCTTTTTACCTTTGATGTGTTGAGTCAGGATCCTAACAATGTTCATTTGCAATTAGTTGATATGTCTTTTAAGTCTCTTTTATCTATAAAAGTTCACCTTTTAAGTTTATGCCATTTATTTGCTGAAGAAGTCAGATCATCTTGTAAAATTTCTCACATTCTGAATTTGGTGATTAGATCCTTCTAATGTTTAACATATTCCTCCTTTGTGTTTTCCTTGAACTGATAGTTAGATTTCGAGGCTTGATTAGATTCAACTTCCATTCTTTTGGAAAGAATACATCATAGCTTGTACAGTGTATTTTTCATTGTATTACAGGAGATTGTGTTGTCATACCTTCAGAGATGTTAAAGCTGATAAGCAGGCTCCAGATCAGCCTGATCCATCCATTGTAAAGTTTTGCCTCAGCCTTTCACCTAATGGTTTTAACAACCATTGATTATCGTTGCCTAAATCTGTTATTTTATTAGTGATTTTTTTCTGTCATTCCATCTATCATTAATTAGCTGGAATGCTTCTATAAGGAAGAAATTTTCTTTTAATTATTGGTTACCCTGAAATACAGTTGGCACAAGAAAGGCAAGATGATTGCTTACTTCTTTCCATTTTTTTTTTTCTATTTATTAATGTCATTTTTCAGAGTCATGTGTTGTTTCCTTAACCCCGCAAAGGTGACTTTTTCAGAATATCATTTTGAGTATTTCATAAATTTGCATTTCAATCCATCACATTATTTATTTTTAATGTTTGTATTATTCCATTTTGGGGCATTGGGAACCCCTTCAGTTTGGCTCTGTGCCCTTTGATGTGACCCAGTAATTTTGATAGTTTATTGACTGTTTCTCAAGCCCATCCTTATACATTTAAGCTTATAGGGTTTTTAATTCTTTAATTTTTATATTGGTATTTATTTCCCCAGTATTGAAAATCTTGGCTTTTAATAGCATTTATGTTTTTTTTTCTCTTCTCTCCTTCCAGACTCTGTAATTATATAACTTTTGCATAATAATGAAACAAAGTTAAGGAAGTGCTCAAATAAAGTTTGCTGTCTTATGGGCCTGGTCTCCTTTTTTTCCTCATAGCTCTTTCACCGAATTTTTGTCAGATGCCTCTTTTAACATTAAAAAAAAATGTGGAAGGGTTTGTACAAAAATAATAGTTAAATGACATAATTTTTTTTCTTTTTTCAACTCCCCCACAAACCTGCCCCGAGACAGGGTCTCACCCTGTTGCCCAGGCTGGAGTGCAGTGGATCAGTCACAGCTTACTTGCAGTCTTGAACTCCTGGGCTCAAGGAATCCTCCTGCCTGAATAGCTAGAACTATAAGCATGCACCACCATGCCCTGCTAATTTTTTAATTTTTTTTGTTGAGGCAGGGTCTCAATGTTGCCCAGGCTGGTCCAGAACTCCTGGACTCTAGCAGTCTCCCACCTGGGCCTCCCAAAGTTCTAGGATTACAGGCATGAGCCACCATGCCTGCCCTATTTTTTTTCAACTTTTATTTTGGATTTAGAGGGTACATGTACAGGTTTGTTACATGTGTATATTGCATGATGCTGAGGATTGGGGTATGGGTAATCCTTTCACCCAAGTAGGAAGCATAGTGACACAGGATTTTTCTTGGCCACTTTGCCAGCCAGAGACCTCCAGCCAGCAACATCCATGCCCAGGCTTTGCTCAGGCCCGAGCTCACCAGAAGAGATGCCCTGTCTATTCATCCTGCTGGGCTATGCCTGGCTTGCGCTCCAATGCAGATCCTGCAGCCGTGGCAATTGCGCACTGGTGGGAGGGGGTGAGGGAGTGAGCGAGTGCAGTGTCCAGCTGGCTGCTCCAAGCAGTGAGACAGAAGCGGGCTGTATGTAGGGATTGCTGCTGGACCAGGCATGTCACACTGAGGGGAACATGGTGGCGCCCAGACGGGTGTCCGCAACCCTGAAACCTCAGAGGGGGTGTTACCGTGTGCTAATAGCTCTTTTAGTCCCACCATCTGCAGCCCCATGGATGGCGGCATGTTAACAGCTCTGTCTGTCCTGTCGCCCCTGCTCCCGCCCGCTGCTGCTTCCCGTCGCGTGGGGTAGCTGCCCTCCACTGGCAGAGCGTGGAGGGCCACAGTATTACAGCCTTCTTTGTACCTGTGTTTGGTGGGTCCTGAGTTCTTGTTCCACATCCAAGAAGAATGAGGTTGTGCTGATATCAAAGGGTGAGGAGGGCGGAGAATAATTTTATTGAATGATGAGAAACAATTCTCAGTGGAGAGGGCATGCGAGGGTGGTCTCTCTCATTGGGGCTGGGGCTGGGGCCTTTATGGGCTCAGAATAGGGGAGTGTATGCTCATTGGTTTGTGAGTATGCAAAAAAAGGCTAAAACAAAGGCACACAGTGTAAAAAACCAATTAGGGAAGGGTAGATATATGTAAAATAGGTAAAGAGTGGAGAATCAATTAGAGGAAAGTATGCCAAACGGGAAGAGAGGTTCTCAGTTCAGTCCATGGATTTATCCAGGACTTGTAGCTAGGCTTTAAACTGTCTTTGGCTTGAAGGTTGGGTTTCAATTGTATGTAATGAACATACAAGTGCATGTGTCTTTTTGGTAGAATGATTTATTTTCCTTTGGGTATATACCCAGTAATGGGATTGCCGGGTGGAATGGTAGTTCTAAGTTCTCTGAGGAATCTCCAAATTGCTTTCCACAGTGACTGAACTAATTTACATTCCCACCAGCAGTGTATAAGCATTTCTTTTTCTCCACAGCCTTGCCAACATCTGTTATTTTTGACTTTTTAATAATTGCCATTCTGACTGGTGTGAAATGCTCATCACTGAAATCATCAGAGAAATGCAAATCAAAACTTCATATAATTTATAAAAGGTCAGACAGCTGTGGAGGCAGAGAGCTTTTACTGTCATTATCAGCAGCAATAGTGTGTAAAGGAGACTACATCTAACACAGTATTATACCCTGAGTATATACTCAATATCTTTTTTTCCTCCTAAACTTAGGTGACTTTAAGAGTAGAGTCTCGGCTGGGTGCAAGTGGCTCACGCCTGTAATCCCAGCACTTTGGGAGGCTGAGGTGGGCGGATAACTTGAGGCCAGGAGTTTGAGACCAGCCTGGCCAACGTGGTGAACCCCTATCTCTATTAAAAATACAAACAAATTAGCTGGGCATGGTGGTGCGTGCCTGTACTCCCAGCTACTTCAAGGCTGAGACAGGAGAATCGCTTGAACCAGGGAGGCGGAGGTTGCAGTGAGCTGAGATTGCGCCACTGCACTCCAGCCTGGGCGGCATAGCAGCTCCATCTCAAAAAAAAAAGAGTCTTCATGGGCTG